>NC_000001.11:205911859-206063374 GCF_000001405.40 Homo sapiens | reverse complement strand
GAGAGGCAGAAAAATCTTTTTAAAACACAAGCCATGCTTGAAACTTGCCGTTTTCCAAGCCCCCTCCTAATAGTGAAGAACCCTGACTCTCCCCACATCTTTGCTGTGATCCTTGCAACCCCCCAGTTCCATTCCAGACACATTCATCTCCTCGCTTTTCTTTGACCATGTCAGGTACACGTCTACCTCAGGGCCTTTGCACTGCCATTCCTCCTGCCTGAAATACTCTTTCCCTATTTATCATCAGGTGTCACATTCTTACCTTTCTTTTAGGTCAAATGTCAGTAAGGCCTTCCCTGAACACCTGATACAAACTAGCAACCCACTCTTACCTCTTACAAGGAAGTGTAGGGTAGGGAATGCTTGCTTTATTTCCCCGTAGCACATCCCACCATCTGACATTTTGTGTGTTTATGTGTTTCTTTGTTCGTTCTAGAAGGTAAGCTCTGTGAGGACAAGGCTTTGTCTGTTGGGATCACTGCTGTATTCCCAGGACCTAGATCACGGAAGTGCTTAATGACTACTTGTGAATGACGAAAAGAAGGAGTAAATCAATTGTAAAGTTCCAGTCATCTACCACAGTTCCCACGGGAGCTGTTCCTGGCCAGTGGTGACACACAGCCCACTTCCCGCTTGGCACTCCTCCCCCGTCCCCTTTCTCAGGTGGCCCCCATGCTTCCTGGGAGCTCACCAAGTTCCTCAGTAAGAAGCACTTCCCAGGCACCTGCAGCCCCCCTATGCCTCCTCCTCCACATCTGGCATATTGTCCAGCAGTTGTATTGTGCAGACACACGAGGCAGTCAGCCATGCACGTGATCACAGATACAAGCATGACTCCTAAGTTGACACCCATGGGGTGTTAACTCCTGACAGGGTAAGACTGGAGAGACAAAAGCAGCTGGACCTGAAATGGTCTGAATCCCCCTCCTCGGCCCTTTTGCCTCAGGAGGGGCAGGAGCTCAGAGGGCTTCCTTGTTGGCCAGGCTGTCTCAGGAGCCTGCCTCTGGGGCTGGGGGTGATCTGGACGAGCATGTCCTGTGTTTCTTGTATGTCACTCCTTTCTATTAGAACAGTACTTTGATTCTAATAAATCAGAAGAAATGTCTAGCCATCCACCTCCATCAGAATATGTTTTACGTTTTATTTTTATTTATTTACTTTTTTTAGAGATGGAGTCTCACTCTGTTGCCAGGCTGGAGTGCAGCGGTGTGATCTTGGCTCACTGCAACTTCCGCCCCCTGGGTTCAAGTGATTCTCCTGCCTCAGCCTTCCAAGTAGCTGGGATTACAGGCATGCACCACCACACCTGGCTAATTTTTGTATCTTTAGTAGAGACGGGGTTTCACCATGTTGGCCAGGATGGTCTTGATCTCTTGACCTGGTGATCTGCCTGCCTCAGCCTCCCAAAGTGCTGGGATACAGGTGTGAGCCACCGTGCCTGGCCTATGTATTTTTTTTTTTTTAAACACACACATAAATCTAAAGCAAAGGGTATGCCAAGATTCAGCTGGGGCCAGGTCTGACCCCCACTCTGAGCATCTCATTAGCTTCCCATCAGTGGAATACAATGGAGACATATTCCACTTGGTCTGGCAATGTCCTCCTGGGGTGATGAAAAGGGGGCATGTTGGTGTAGACAGCAAAGTCGTCCTCCTTCTGGGGAGCCAGGTTGATCACGTTGGAATATATGGCATCAGCATGGCAGGAAAGATCCTTTAGAGATAGAACCCTGGTTAGAGGCAGATGGCTGGGCACCAGGGACTTCCAAAGACAAAACAAGGCATTGGGCTGTCCCTACAGGACAGCAAGTAGAATGCTGAGTTCTTGCTGCACAAGCCCTAGATCTCAGTTTTCATAGGCATTTCCTCCAGATCTGCCCCCCGCCTCCTCCCACCACCCTCTGTGTGGGGTCTAGGTAAGGAAGCAGCCAGAAGGCCAGGATCCCCCTCTCTACATGCGACTGGACTAGTTCCTTACCGAGGACTTGTGGGGAAAGTTGGTCTGATGCCTCAGTTGTTTCTTAAATAGTCCTAGAAAAATGGATAAACTCAGAGTCAGTCTGAGTTGGGTTAATAACCATCTTTACTTGGTTGTTTGCTGGGTTTAGGGCTTAACTTTGAAATGCAAAATCCACCACACTCAGCCCATTGGGCCTCTGAGACTAAGTTAAATTCCCAGGAAGACACAGGGGAAATGAGTACGCTTTATAATTTATAATTTTGTTTATTATTTAGAAGAGATTATTTGGCATCAGTATTTCTTTTAGCTGAGGCATATAGGCCATAAGCATATATGCAGATGGCTTATACTATATATAGCTTTCAGCATGAAGAACTTGTGTGATGAGTAATTCTTATTGCTGTGTACAGAGTCCCCAGCAAGTCTAGAGAAGAGGTCTTATCTTCATATCTCCTTCATATTACCCTCCCACTACCCGCTCCCCTCCCCGACAAGACTGCCCCATAGGAAAAACACCCCAATCTCTGCCCCCAGTTTCTCCTCTCTTCATTCCCAGTTCCAGGGCCAGCTTGTTCAACTCACTCTCTTGCCTCCATTTCTTCAGGGTCATGGACAAGAGACCCACCAGGAGCAAGATGAGGGACACCACAGCAATGGAGCCAGAAAGGGCTGTGGCTGCTGTGCTTAGGCTGAAGGAAGCAACTAAGAGACATGAGGACCATCCAGCTGCTCTGGCTGGCTTTGGTGACCCTCCACAAAAGTGCCCTGGGGCCTCCTCACCCATGTAGAAGCTCTCCCACTTCCAGGCTTCACCTCCTTAGTGGCCAACCATCTCCTGCCTCCATTTTAGCCCCTCTTTTCAGCTCTAGCCTCCATCACCATGGCCCCCACTCACACCAATCCCCACAGATCCTTCCCCAGGAGCCCACCTTCCTCCTTCATGGATCCAGCCCTTCTCTCACCCACCTGCTGAGTCCTGCAGTGTTAGTCTCTGGCTTCAGGGTGGTGATGTTCTCTGCATAAGGGGAAGGAGAGGAAAGTAATACGAAGGAGATAGGAAGGTAATTCTTGCACACCTATGCAAATGAGCTCTACAGAATCCTAAATGGTAATATTAGCTACTGTTTATTGTGAACTTAGTATATATTGGGCACATTCATTATCTTGTTTAATCTTCATATATAGACCTGAGATAGGAACAATCATTATTCCTATTATACAGTAAAGAAAAACAGTTCTTGAGGATCACACTTGCTCAGGGTCATAGGGCTGGTAAGTGGCAGAGTTTGGACATAAACCTCCATCTCTCTGACTTTAAGTCGTGTGTTCATACACAGTATATTCTGCTGCCTCCATGTGATTGTTTCACTCCAGAGCTCTACCATTCTTACCAAGGGTTAGCAGATATGACAGGAGGTCCAGAAAAAGAGATAACCAGGATGTGCAGTGCTAGGTACCTGGGGGAGGGCATGTGAGAGGGGTTGACAGGATCAGGACATAAGCAAGGCCAGTAGAGCTACGGCTAGGAAGAGGTGGCAGGCGTGGGAGCCTGCCCATGCTCTGGTGGGGAAGGGGAGAATTATTCACACCAGGAAAGAATTTCTCCTGCCTCGAGGGATGGAGACACAAAGTCCATCCCCTCTCCAGCCACATTCTGTCCATAGATTCTCAGAGCTAAAAGGAATCTTAAACCCTCCCATTGTATAGGTGAGGAATCTCAGGGGAAGGCACTTGCCTGAGGCAAGTGCTGTAGCCAGGACTGGAGTCAGGCATTTTGACTCCAAACCCAAAGCTCTCTTTATCTGCATTCAGTCTCCTTCCTGTTTCTTCCCCATAAAGTGAAGCTGCATGATTCAGCCCTATAGCAGATAGCACCCCTCAGGCCACATGTCTTGGGGAGCTGGCTGTGCAATGCAGAGACTGTGGCCAAGGTGGGGTGGGGGGAACCCATTGGATCACTAAGGCAATTTACTAGCCACCTTGGATAAATAGCATCTGGGAACACAAAAGTACCAAGTTTTACAGCCTTTAGGGGCACCAAGGCCAGATGGGATTCTGTTGGGTATCCTAACAGCTCCCTTCCTTTCTGCCTTTTTCCCTGTCTCCCTTCTGAGTGAGAGAGCTGACCTCACCAAGTTTCCCTTTGACAGCTACTGGATGGAGGGTAGGAAGGGGTCTTGGAAACCACACCTTTCCAGTGCCCATGGTGCCAGTCATGAACCATGCAAGATGAAGCATCAAGTCACAGGGCATGATGTATGGGGGAGTGGGGTGAGGCAGATGACACACCTAAACCCTGAGCAATGAGAAGGGAACTTGGGTCTCCAGCTGGGGCAGGCTGGTGGGAGTGGAGCACACCTGTTACGGCAGGAGGGAGATAGCATGAGGGTGTCTATCCAGGGCCAGAAAGGCAAGTACCTATCCTGGGCAGGCAGAGGAGGTGGGTAGGAGCAAGAAGAACAAAGGAGGATGTCATGAAAGTGCTTGAGATTTAAAGTCCAGTTGTAGCAGGACGAGCCGCAGACAAAACCTCCCAGACACTGAATTGTAGAAGGAAGGGCTTTATTCAGCTGGGAGCATCAGCAGGCTACTGCCTTAAAATCCGAGCTCCCCGAATGCACAATTTCCGTCCCTTTTAAGGGCTCACAATACTAAAGATTTCACATGAAAGGGTCATGATTGATTTGAGCAAGCAGGCGGTATGTGACAGGGGCTGCATGCACCGGTGGTCAGAGAGAAACAGAACAGGGCAGGGAGTTTCACAATGTTCTTCTATACAATGTCTGGAATCTATGAATAACATCAGTTTCTAAGTTATGAGTTGATTTTTAACTACTGGGTTTAGGCCAGGCAGGCCCAGGCCTGGTTTTGGGCCTGGCGCTGGGCTGCTTGTCTTTGGTTCTACTTCCTTGTTGTTTTTTTCTTAAAAGAGGTACTGAGTATAAAACAATATAAAACAATATGAGAGGGTCTCTCTCTTCCCTCATTTCCCCTCTTTGAGACTCTCACTTTTTATCAGTGGGAGTTCTCACTCTTATTTTTGCTACTTATGTATTTTCGTGCAATAGATTGATAGTGATTTATATAGTATGCTTGTGCTGAAGCATTTTGGTGAACTAAGGTTAAGCGACGAAGTTTTTTATCATTTGGAGAAATACAGGTATCAGACAAGGGAGCAGTAAGCAGGTTCCTATTACTATTATTACTCTTATTATAAGAGTTTTAAATCCACCTATTGCTGGGAACCAATTTCCAAACATGGCTCCCAGATTGAGTCCGTGCCACACTTGCACAGGTGCATGTGCCAGTTTTGTTATATCTTTAACTATATCCTCAACTACTTGCCCCTGATCATCTATGTGTAGACAATAATTAGTAAGGTCAAATTTTTCACAAACTCCTCCTTCAGCTGCTAGCAAGTAATCAAGAGCTAGTCTATTTTGATAGATAGCATTTCTCATCATAGTCTCTTGCCAGGCAAGAACAGTCAAGGCTTGAGTGGTTTTATTAGTAATAATTTCTAAAACAGCTTGTAACCATATGATTCGGTTGAGCATGTAGATGGGGGTTCCATATCCCCATGAGACATCTTGTGACCAAGTGGCAGGTCCATAGTATTGTAAGATTTTTTCAGGGGGCCATTCATCGTCTTTCCAATCACCTATGGCTATGCTTCATTTTTCACAGGAAGCACAGACTGGGAAGCCCAGAAGTTTACCTGTTTTTATGGGCACTAAGAAGAAAGATGGCTTAATGGTGCCAATTACACAGCTACCTGTCCACTGATCAGGCAGCTTAGCATAAGCTCTGTGTCCACATACCCAGTATAACCCAGTGGGGGCCGTCCAGTCCCAGTGCAATTCTGGGTGGGCCCAAACAGTCTGCAACTTTGGAAATTTACTGAATGGATTTTTTTCTGTGTAATTGGAACTCCACCATGTAACTGTTTTTGTGGTACCATTATACAGCTTTTGCCCAAGACAACTAAGCTGCCCTACAGGATGAGTAAATCCTTTTCCTTCTCTAGCTATGCAATACTGTCCAATAATAAGACTTTCAGAACCCAAAATTTGTCAGGGTGGTTCTTTTGGGCTGGGAATTCATCAGGAACCGGGTCTATAGGAACCAATTCTCGGGCTTCCCATGGCCATTGATCTCCTGTTACGGTTCCTCCACAAACATGACATAGGCGACTTGTAGAGACTGGGCTACATGTTTGGCTAATTGCAAAAACAAATTTTTAGTTTTTCCTGGAATCTCAGGTACTGGCACATTTAGTTCATCATAGAAAGTCTGAAATACTGGTTCTGGAGAACGTTTTTGAACCTCTCCTTTTATTAGGATGCTTACACTAGGATCTAGTCCTTTTCCATCAATGCCTAATGTTACATATTTTTCTTTATTCCACTTTGGGTCTGAGGGGTTTGTGATTATCAATTCTAAAAGGTTGCAGCTCCCACTCATGCAGGAGAGGCTGACTTTTCCTTTTTGGAACCAAACACTATCTTTTTTAACTTATTTTCAAGTAGCCGAAATAACGCAAGACCAGTATTGACACATCTCACATAAATATGATTCTTGACAGATATACTTATTTTTTTTTACTGTGTAACTTTTTTTTCCAATTTAGAGAACCACATCCTCATCCATGCTGCTTACTATCAATAGTGGCACAAGTGTCAAATTTTAAGGTTACATTTTTGGGGACCCCTCTTTCTTCTGTTCTAGCTATTACCTTTCTTGTGTCACCTAGAAAAGGACCAGTCCTTAATTGTATTTTAAAAACTGTGATCATGGGAGGCTTAAAATGGGTCATAACACGCATCAAGTTGGTTATTTCCTGGGCTACATACCTTGGATAGAATAGCATTATACAAACAAGTTTCTTTTAGAGTCCTGGTACACTTATAATAACCATAAAATAATAGGAATGTAGCAATCTTTTGTCCTACCTCAGTGACTTGATGTATATACTGGAAACAGTTCTCAGTCTGAGGAAGGTCAGTTGAAGTCCTTACTGTGCAAGTCTAAATTTTAAGGAAAATTAGTCCCGCGATGAGTTTCCTCATGCTTCAGCTGTGCGTGGACCAGTCAGCTTCCGGGTGTGACTGGAGCAGGGCTTGTCGTCTTCTTCAGAGTCACTTTGCAGGGGTTGGTGAAGCTGCTCCCATCCATGTACAGCTCCCAGTCTACTGATGTTTAAGGATGGTCTCGGTGGTTAGGCCCACTAGAATAAACTGAGTCCAATACCTCTACACAGTTATGTTTAACTGGGCTCTCTGACACCGGGAGGAAGGTGGCGGGGTTTAGGTGTTGCAAACTTCAATGGTTATGCGGGGATGTTCACAGAGCAAGCTTTGGTATCTAGCTAGTCTAGCATTCATTAGCTAATGGTGTCCTTTGGTATTTATTAAAATCACCACAGCATAGGGGGACTTTATGTTTAGGTTTTGTCTAAGAGTTAGCTTATCTGCTTCTTGTGCTAACAGGGCTATTGCTACCAGGGACTTTGGACATGGGGGCCAGCGTTTGGAAACCTCATCTAGTTGTTTTGAGAGATAGGCCACTGGCCTTGGCCAGGGCCCTACAGTCTGGGTTAAAACTCCAACTGCCACTTTTTCTCTTTCTGACACATAGAGTGTAAAAGGTTTTGTCAGGTCAGGTAGCCCCAGGGCTGGGGCCGACATGGGTTTTTTCTTTTTTTCAACTCATGAAAAGCTCATTGCTGTTGGGTGTAATAGATGCAGTTTATCTAATCTACATTTTTATTGACTGTCATCTACCAAAATATTGACTTAAATCCTGTAGCTATTTGATTTCGGACTTTAAATTGATCTGGTGTTCCTTGCGGGGCTTCGATTGCATCTAAATAGATGTGAGAGTTGAAAGACCCATAAGGGGCTTCTCTCGCTTTACGATGTCTTATTATTTTTTTTTTCCTTCCTCTGGTTGATGAAATGCCAGGGTGAAAGGGATAGCCAAATAGGCTAAAGCACAAGTGCCACTCTAGTTATTCGGCAGAGTGCCCAATAAAGGTCCACGACAATACCATCACACATCCGCTCGGGGATGAACAAGGGCTGACTGACTGATAAGCTCTTGAAAATTCTTAAGCTCACTGCATCCCTTCAGGTCTCCAAGGAATGCTAAGTCTCCTCCCTGCCATGAGAGACATGAAGTGAACTTAGTGTTGGGAGACGGAAGCTGGACGGCCCTCAGGGGCTGACCCGCAGGGACTTTGGGATATAGCAGAGAGAGCTTGGCATGACTTATTACTCCAAGCTGTAGAAACCTGGAAAATAGCTACCCTGCAGCCCATGCCTGGTCAACTGGAGGACCACCTTAGTGGAAGGGGGACAATCAGGGCCTCTGGCCTGCCATGTGCACAAGCATAACAATTGCATTTGTTTAAAGTGCAGATGGAATATTTGATCCATTTCAGCCAGGCACTTGCATCTTGGCGTGCTGTCTTAATTGCCAAAGTTTGTTTTAAGTCTTTAACTTTTATGATCCTCTAGTAAAATGAATGTTTCCTTTAGCACCAATTTTTATTAGTTTTTAGACCAAAGAAAGCTAAACACCATTTTATATTTAATAATGTTTCTTGTATGATTTTTATACCAGATAAGCTAAATTTTACCTTTATATTAGTGTGTTATTAATTTTAAACTGAATTTTAATAAAACCTTGTAGACATATTTATCCAATTTTTCATGTTTGACCATAAGGTAAGATTTTATAGACTCTTTTTAACCTTTTATAATTTTTGTTAAAGAGCAGGTTGATGCTTTAAGAAAAACCTGTGGCATTTTTTACTTTAATGTCCAGTTCACAGAAAAACTGGATGATACCTTTTTAACTTTAGCTAATATGTTTACACACAGAATTTTCTTTATAATTAACGTTTTAAAACTTGCTTAAACTTTTAAAACAATAATTGTTTTTAACCTTTTAATGTAGGTAAAAATCCACATTCTTATGCCCCTTTATAATCTTTTTACCAAAGGTATGTTTTACTTTTCTTATACACCTTGCACATAAACTGTTTTTTTAATAGTACTCAGGAGGCCTTATTACTTTTAAATTATACAACATTTTTTGCATAAATTTTTTTATAACATTTTTTCTTTCACGACTTTTGCCGACAATTCTTCAATGTGTCTCAACTTTCTGACTTATTACAAACATTTTTTTTCTTTAAACACCAGTTAGTTTATTTCAGGACAAGAATTTACCATATAACACTCTTTTTACATAAATTCTGTCTCCCCCCACTTTTTTTTTTTTTTGAAGATAACCATTCCTTTTTTTTTTTTTTAAAGCAAACTTTCTTTATGCCTTTGGACTAGACTGTCTAAGGCCACAAGATTAGAAGTTACCATAATACATGTTACACTGTTAACTTTAAGCAAACTTCACTTTTGTTGAAAACCTTGTAAGTTTGGGATTTCAATTATCCTTTGCTATTAAGACCTTGTTTAGTCTAAATTAACTTAGAATTGGTATAGATGGCCTTTTTTTCTCTCTACTGGTCTTTCCTTGCCTCTGCCAGCCGCTTATGCTGCTGTTCTCTTAACTACGTTGGCGGGGCAAGGGGGTATAAAAGCAGCTGTAACTTTCTATGTATGGAAACTGGTCTGGGTGCCTTGGCTTACGGGTTACCTTGTGTCATACCTTTGAAACAAGGGACCTGTCCAGGCTTCCTTCTGATGGCCAACCCACCTCTAATGCTGGCCAGTCTATTTCACACAAAGTTCTAAGTTTTCCTGGTGTCACAGTAACACTGTAATCTCCCTTAAATTCTTTCTTGAATTTTTTTTTAACATAGTTCCTAGTGGGGTGGGCTTATTTGTACCTGACCCATGCTTCTTCGAGACAAAACACCACACCCACACCACACACATGCCACAAACAAAAAAACAGGTAAAAAGGGCATACACACTCTTGCAGTTTACACCAAACCAAAATCAAAACCAAAATCAGAGTATCCAGAAATCCAAGCCAGGTCAAAACCAAAACCAAAACCAAAGTATCACACAATCTAAGTCAAGTCAAAACCAGAACAGAAGTGCCAATGCAGGCATGTCGTGGGTGATCAGGCCACACTTCCACCTAGATGGAGTGGGGCAAGTTCCAAAGACTAGTCTTACCAAGTTTCAGATGTCCGGACTCCAAGTGCCAGTTCCTTCCCGGTGTTCAGCCACTGTGTTAATCCTCCACAGGGAACTGCTACACGCTGCTCTGGTGAGGCATTCCACCGGGGCAATTTCCTACCCGGGAGTGCTCTTTGGATCGCGTCACTCGGGCTGGCCGGAGTCCGCCTCAGGGATGCTCCACAGGGGAGGCCTAAGCCGCCTAAGGGGCTGCCTCGGCTGTCCATCAGTTACCTCGTTTCCTGGTCAGGGAACCAAGAAATGTAGCAGGACGAGCCGCAGACAAAACCCCTCAGACACCAAATTGTAGAAGGAAGGGCTTTATTCAGCTGGGAGCATCAGCAGGCTACTGCCTTAAAATCCGAGCTCCCCGAATGCACAATTTCCGTCCCTTTTAAGGGCTCACAATACTAAAGATTTCACATGAAAGGGTCATGATTGATTTGAGCAAGCAGGCGGTATGTGACAGGGGCTGCATGCACCGGTGGTCAGAGAGAAACAGAACAGGGCAGGGAGTTTCACAATGTTCTTCTATACAATGTCTGGAATCTATGAATAACATCAGTTTCTAAGTTATGAGTTGATTTTTAACTACTGGGTTTAGGCCAGGCAGGCCCAGGCCTGGTTTCGGGCCTGGCGCCGGACTGCCTGTCTTTGGTTTTACTTCCTTGTTGTTTTTCCTTAAAACAGGTACTGAGTATAAAACAATATAAAACAATATGAGAGGGTCTCTCTCTTCCCTCACAGTGACCTGGGTCTCAGACACTTCCTAACTGTGATCTTAGGACAAACACTTAGCTTTTCTGAGCCTCATCTGTGAAACAGACAGAATATGAATGCCTACCTCATGGAGTTGTTTAAGAACTCAGTGATCAGACTATTATTCAACAGTAATAACGAGCCAGGCCCAGTGGCTCACGCCTATAATCTCAGCACTTTGGGAAGTCAAGGCAGGAGGACCGCCTGAGCTCAAGAGTTTGAGACCAGCCTGGGCAATATAGCTAGACCTTGTCTCTACTTTAAAAAAAAAAAATCCGAAAATTAGCTGGGTGTGCTACTGCATGCCTGTAGTCCCAGCTCCTTGAGAGGCTGAGATAGGAGAATCACTTAAGCTAGGGAAGTCGAGGCTGCAGTGAGCCATGATCACACCATTGTACTCTAGCCTGGGTGACAGAGCAAGACCCTGTCACAAAAACAAACAAAGAAACAGAAGACAGGAATAACCACCATTTGTATTGTTCTAGTTTTCAGTTGGTCTTACCTGAGCAGAGTAATTGGGTGAGATTGTTCATGGAGGCATTGCTGGCTCTCTAGTCCTGGAACCTACAGTTGGTCCAATTCATTATGCCAAAGGGTCCGTCTAGGAGGTTCTTGTTCCAAGTATTGAGATTCCCGAGAGAAGTAGGTCCCCTTAGATAGAAGCAGAGTTTCTCAGAGGTATTTAGCAGCAGCTGGTGGACACAGGACTCAGGGAGCTGGCCCCCCTCTTCCCTTCCATGTCTTTCATTCCTGCATGGGAACCTGTCAGATGGGGAGATTGTTAAAATCTCACCACTGGAGGGGAGGGCCTCAAAGGCCATGGAGACAGCACCTCTCTCTTAGTGAAGGCATCTTCAGATAGAATTCAGCACAAATTCAAAGGTGGCTCCCCAGACCCTATCTGTCACATCGCCCTCTCATCTATTAGTATCTGAAGTCACCTTGATCATTTATTTGTTTACTTGATTATTGTCAGCCTCTCATCACATGAATGTGAGCTTCATAAGAACAGAGACCTTATCTGTTTTGGCCAACATTTCACCCCCAGTGTCTAGAAAGTGCCTCATGCAATGAATAGGTCCAATACATATTTCTTCAATAAATGAATGAATGAATGAATGCCAAAGACTCCTTCATAAAAGCCAGGGTCAACTGACCTCTGCCAGAATTTTGGAGAGCCTACACCACAGACTTTTGAACCTCTTAGCTGATGACAAATCTTTAGCCTTCGAAGCGGAAATTGATTTGAAAGAGCCCAAAGTACTCCGGTAAAGTAGGTGATGTTGAACTGGGTAATGTCAATTTCAGAAAAAGAGGACACGTGCCTGTGAAACACCAAGAGCAGTGTCCTGGGGTTGGGGAGGACACCTGCCTGGGTGTGGGTGGCCAAGGGGAAGAAGGAAGAGAAAGAGCAGGGGAAGATGCTGTCCCACAGCCACCACCACAGGTGTTCACCGGCCTCAGGCGCCAGCCCTGCTCAGGGTGAGAGGCGAAGAGGGAGGTGTGCTTAAGGCCAAATGAAAGAGGATCTGCCACCCTCTCCTCCCCCAACTCTTACCACATTCTAGCAAAGAGAGCTGCAGGAGCAGTCAGGAAATCCCCTAACAAGGCAAGCATTGGAACCAAGAGCCCAGGTGGCACGGATGAGTCACTTCACTTACTTGGACTCAGTTCCCCTATTTGTGAAATGAAGCAAGGATGAGAAGAGGAACAAGACGTGATCAAGAAAAAGGCAAATGTTTTCACAAGTGCCTGTCATTGCCCCCTTCTGTTGTCCCCTTCCACATGTCACCTGGTACATTGTACATTTCTTCTAACAATTGTGTTATTGGCCAGGAAATACAGAGAATTCTTTTAGAGAATAGGTTTTCTAAGTGTTAAAATTGTTTTTATTTTTAATTTTGTAAGGGGAGGACATCATCACCTTTTCAGTTTGGGACTTTTGAAGTGTTTGTTTCATTAGGTCACATTCAGATGGTTTTAGAATTCAAAAGGTACAAAAGGATAGTCCTGGAAAAGCTGCTCATCTGCTCTTGACCCCAGCCATCTAGTTCTCCTCCCTGGAGGAAACCAGCATGCCCAGTTTATTGTGTACGTTATGTGTACATGAGCAAACACACAGACACACAGAAACACACTCACCATACAGGCGTCTTCCTTACACATGACAGTGTACTACATACTTTGTTTTGCCTTTTGCTTTTTCACTTAATATATCTAGGAGTTAATTTATTATTAATACATACAGAACTTTCTCATTCCTTTCTTCCTCTTCAGAGTGTTCCGTTCTATGGTTGCTCACAGTTTATTTAACTGGTCATCTAGTAGTAAATTTAGATTGTTTCCACTTTTTACACTTGAAATGATGATGTAATTATTAAACTGCAACAAACATCATTTGCACAGGTGTAAATATGTGTGTAAAATTAGAGAAATGGCCATTAAAGTAGATCTGCCATCCCAGTTTTAGGAAGTCAGTATTCCTTTTTACAAATCCAAAATACAGTGTTACCCAATTTGACTACTCATATTATAATCCAGATTTCACTCTGGCTGTTTCCAAAAATCAAAGCACTCCTCAGAGAACAAAGATATGACATCACTGAGGATATTCAACAGAACTACCAATTTCTCTAAAGGCCGACCTCCAAGGAGAATCCAAACGCCTTCAGCAATAACAGCATCACTAGAGTGAGTATAGCATGTCCCTGGATGCTGATGATGGAGCGATAAACCCTCATGACACAGACATTTCCAAACAATTCAGGCAAAGTTTACTGAGTGCCAACTACATAGTCTGTTTAAAGCCCAGTCTGTCCTATTACACTGGTCTTTCAGTTTAAATAAATAAATAAATAAATATAAATAAATAAATAACCCAGTCTGTAAGGATGAATAGAAAAAGGCCTTGTCATCAAGAAACCAATGATCTAGGGAGCAGTTCTCAAAGTGTAGTCCAGGGACCCCCTGGGGGTTCCAGAGATCTTTTCAGAGGGTTCATGAGGTCAAAACCACTCTCTTAATAATACTAAGATACTAGTTGCCTTTTTCACTCTCAGTTTCTCTCAAGCATACAGTGGAGTTTCCCAAAGTCTATGTGACATGTGGTATGGCATGAGACTGAGTGCAAAGGCAGACCTGAGAACTCAGCTGTCTTTTATTGAGCTAGGTATGAATAATGAGATTTGCACATGCATAAAACAGTGCTTCTCTTTTCATTAAATTCTTCATGCTTTGGGAAATAGTTATATTTCATAAAAAGTGTTATGTTTAAGATGTAATGGCTTTGGTACTATTTTCTAAGGGGATTAGATAAATATTTTTAAATTTTCTTAGTTTTAATTTCTGATATGGTCAATATGAATAGATATAAACTACATAAACAATAGCGTTTTGGGTTCCTTAGTACTTTTTGAGAGTGTACAGGGGTCTGGAGGCCAAAGAGTTTGAGAATTGCTGATCTAAGGACCCATGGCATTTCTTCACCATAGGGCAAGAGAGGAGCATTTTGCCTTATCTGCCAAGAGTGTGCTATGCTACATCCAGGGGTGCAAGCCAAAAGATTCAGGAGGAACAGATTGGGTGTTCTCAAATAGCGATGTGTCAAGAGGACAGCAATTGCTTGGACACAAGAATTCCCCCCGGAGCCTGCTGGCTGGCAGTGCAGCGGCTGTGTAGAAAGGCTCTACCAGAGGGGCAAAGTCCAGGCATGAGGCAACAAGGAGGCTCTGAGGTTGGGGGAGCCTGCAGAAGAAGCGGAAGAGGAAGCTGGATAAGTCCGCCGCCCCTGGACTAAGCTGCTGACTACCTCCTGCTGTGATTCCAAGAGCCACTGCCTCAAAAAACTTCCTTGCAGGTGCTGGTGCCTGAAATTCCAGTGGAGGTGTTTCATTCCCTCAGCCAAAGGCAAATTCAATCCCAACAATCTCAAGTATCACTCAAGCTTACACAAGTGTGCAAATAACATTATGGAAGATAGATTCGAAGGTCACACTTTAATAAAACAAGAGAGTGTGTCTATAACAGGAGTGGGGTGGGATGGGTGGAGCGGACGGGAAATGGAGAACAAAGACTCAAAAATATGAAATAAATAGAACATAAGAGCAGTTCGTGGACCCATGATGTAAGAATGCCACTAGGGGGATTGATCAATCTGATTCTGGGTAGCTAAAATCAAAGAAAAAAAAATCCAATCCAGTCAAACTTCTCTGTAGCATATGGTATGTCCTTAGCAGCGTGAGACAGCTTACAAGGATAGAGAAGAATGAGACACGGGCCCTGGGTTCAGAGAGTGCTACCCCACGCTCACCCCCCACCCCAATTTAGCGAGGAAAATATCCGCGGCAACCATAGCAGCTGTAACAAAAGGTAGGTGTATAATCAAAGCTAAAAAGATGTACAAAGAAAGGGCTATTGGATCAGAAAGGAGGAGCAGGTTGTTTCTAACTTTAGTGACGAGGGAAGACTACATGGAGGAGGTGGCATTTGTTGTGGTCACGGATGTGTAGGAAGGATTCCTATGGCAGTGCTGAGGCTGTGGATATACCAGATGGGAGGGTGCTTGTAGTGAAGGCATGGCAGTTGGAATATCCAGCCATTTTTCCTTCGATGAACATCTGAAATCACTGCTAAGAGAGGGAGCATTGTACACCTGAGGGTGAAAGGAAGGCTGTCACCTAGGATGCAGAAGGAGGGAGGAACAGAACCTGGGAAGACAGAGGGCACGAAAGACAGTTCATGAACTTCAAGAGCCCAGTGGACTGAGATCATGTCTGATTTCACTTATCTCCCCGGCTTCTAGGCCAGTGCCTGGAACACAGCAGCCCTCAATAAATGCTCATTGAATGAATGAGAAGTTGGACACACTCCCTTTGCTCTTTTTCAGGCTGGCCACAGATGTGCTGCCGTAACCGAGTGGAGCCATATACTCTCACCATTTCTAGGACTTTAAATGTTTTTCTGGTTGCTTTTGCAGAATTTCATTTCTCCAAATAGAAACCCTGCGTCCTCTTGAGGTTTATTACAGAGGTATTTATTGGTTGGGGTTGCTTTAAAGATCACCATCAGGTTTTCATTTTGCACAGCAGCTTATTTGCAAACGTCAAACAGGTGTCTTAACATTTGGCATCCTAAGAAAATTAAACTGTCAGCCTCTTGGGCTCCTACAAAAGAGCACCAGTGAACATGTGAAGCCAGAACTGTCCACAGGTGACTTAACAGGAACTGATCCCATATTACCATCCTTTACTGGCTCTGCACATATCCTTCATTCAATTTAAAAACATAATAAAAATTTTTTTTAAGCAAGCACATTTTACTTACTTATTTGTTTATTTAGACAAGAGTCTCACTCTGTCGCCCAGGCTGGAGTGCAGTGGCGTGATCTCGGCTCACTGCAACTTCTGCCTCTCGGGTTCAAGTGATTCTCCTGCCTCAGCCTCTCGAGTAGCTGGGATTACAGGCACCCACCACAATGTCCAGCTAATTTTTGTATTTTTAGTAGAGACGGGGTTTTACCATGTTGGCCAGGCTGGTCTCAAATTCCTGACCTCAAGTGATCCACCGGCCTCGGCCTCTCAAAGTGCTGGGATTACAAGCATGAGCCACCGCACCTGGCCGCAAGCACATTTTTAACAAGTGCAAAATGGAAACCTTATGCACATCTTACGATTTCGTTGACGACTCAGAACTGGGGATATCTCGTGTGACCTCCGGTCAGCAGTTTAAAGGATGAGGCATACTTATCCCCATTTGTAGCTGAGGTAACTGAGTGATAAGTGAATTGCTCCAGGTCACAGTTAGCAAACAACAAAACCAGCATCCAAACAGAGGTCTCAAAATCCCTTAAACTACCTTTCATTTACTACACAGATTGTTTCTATATCATCTTTATTAGCTGTAATAACCACATAAATTTTGGAGTAGCTAAGGACAGTTGTTCAGGTTGTTTATTGCTCAAGGGCATGACATCTAAAGAAACTATCCAACCTGTAATCCCAGCACTTTGGGAGGCCAAGGTGGGCAGATAATCTGAGGTTGGGAATTCAAGACTAGCCTGACCAACATGGAGAAACCCTGTCTCTACTAAAAATATAAAAAATTAGCCAGGCGTGGTGGGGCATGCCTGTAATCCCAGCTACTCAGGAGGCTGAGGCAGGAGAATCGCTTGAACCCGGGAGGTGAAGGTTGCAGCGAGCCAAGATCGCACCATTGGACCCCAGCCTGGGCAACAAGAGTGAAACTCCGTCTCAAAAAAAAAAAAAAAGAAAGACAGAAACTATGCACATCACAGACATCATTATGTTGAATTTTTTTCACTTTTTTATTTAACTGCTAACTCTAAAGGTAGATGACATATTCTTATTAAAATAGTTTTCTGACAAATAACAATAAAATGTCTTCTCTAACAAAGATCCTTTTTTATGACAATTTTCTTTCAGATGGAAATAGATTTTCTAACAGGGTTGACATTTACTTCATAAGCTGAAGCAGAGAGTGTTTGACAAAGACCTTATTGGTTTAAGTAACGAGTGCCACAATAACTAGTGCTTCCAAACAAGGAGTTGTTTTCCAACTCTTGTTTTGATTTTTATCTAATTTTTTTTTAAATCCTGTATTAGTATTTGTGTATTGGCTAAATTTGAAGTTTTGCATTACAGTTCATATTGTCTGCCTGAATGGTAGCTCTGAATTCCTAATTTAGATCTACGGATTTTTATTATTACATAACTCACTTTTGTGGTAATTAATGATCATAGGCAATTATATATTCATAAAATAATTATTTTATATTCATAAATTAGAGACTATTATATCATGAATTGTGAATTGTATCATAGCTATTGTTTATGGGTTGTTAAAGAAAATTTCTTCAGGAGAAAAGCTAACTGCTGGTAAAGTTTCATGGCTTATTATATATATTTTTTAAAGTTTTAAGTTCTAGGATAAACTACTATTATGTTTTAATTATGTATATAGATATATACACATATATATATATATATATTTTTTTTTGAGACAGAGTGTCGCTCTGATGCCCAGGCTGGAGTACAGTGGCATGGTCTCAGCTCACTGCAGCCTCCGCCTCCCGGGTTCCAGCTATTCTCCTGCCTCAGCCTCCTGAGTAGCTGGGATTACAAGCATGTGCCACCACGCCTGGCTAATTTTTGTATTTTTAGTAGAGATGGGGTTTCACCATGTTGGTCAGGCTGGTCTTGAACTCCTGGCCTCGTGATCCACCCGCCTCAGCCTCCCAAAGTGCTGGGATTACAGGCATGAGTCATCATGCCCGGCCTTAATAATATTTCTTTAACATTTAATAAGCTAATATAATATTATTTCTCCCAGGATACTGATAAGAAAAAAAAATCAAACTAAAACTAGAAGATGAAAAGCTGTCTAGATAGAAAGTAAAGTAAAACTATTTGGATTATTGAATAAATTTAGGGAGAAATAGAGAGTTTAGGGCTGTTTGTTTCAGTGAATGTGTCACAGAAATGTGAGATGTGAATTTACCTTTTAGTTCCATTGTCAGAAATAATCGATGAATCTAAAAAAAAGTAGCTTTAAAAATGCAAAGAATTCAAACACATGGCCAAGTAGTTTGAATAGGAAACAAAGATGTACTCTTGCTGAAAATTATTCACCTCAAGTAAAAAATTTTTTATCTTTACAAAAGATAATACAGGTTGGAAGTTTTTGGAAATATAATGGACACAAATTTTTTCCAAATGGTGAGGAGAAATAATAATGACTAGATTCTGATTATTTTATTATACTTCCAAGGACTCTGTATTTTGCCAGCTCTTTGAGAACAAAAAATCAGCTGGAAAATGGGAAAGAATGCAAAGATTGTACAGCACTTGGCACATTTTTTTGTAAACATGAAGAATCTGAAATAAACATCAATAGGAATGCTAAGTATTCAAATTTCAAATCTGATTAGAAATATATAATTATTAATGCTGCAAAACAGATTCTATATGATGAGGAAAATATTACATTGAACAAAAAAACTCAATTCTGTTTTGGCAAGACAATATCTAGCATTCAGAGGATCATCTACAAAAATGTATAAGCAGTATAATAACAGGAATTTTCTTCATTTACGAAAAGCATAGAAGCTTAATAGAATTTACAGCAGTATACAAATATATATTGTATGTTTCAAATATGCAATAATTTGTATATATACAATATATATTTGTTTATATAAACATATACTTGTATATTATTGTACAAATATTATATACTATATATAAACACCAAATATATACCAAATATTATATACTATATATAAATATTATATACTATATATAAACACCAAATAGCATTTACACATTATGTAGCAGATGAAAAGCAAAACCAAATGATTAAAATATAGCAGATTTGTTGACTGAAGTTATTTTGAATCTTGTAAGAAGTGCTAAATATCACACAGTTAAATAACTTGAGGTACATTTCCTGATGTAAGCCACGTGGAACAGTTGACAATTATTTTTAGATTTGTACATTTTCAAAATGCAAATATATCTATATGTAAACATTAATTTTTTTCCCTACAGTAAATGATACAGCTGGAGAAGGATTATTTAGGTTTTTGGTTGACCACAACCATCACCAACAGAAGCACTGAATATAGGCTATAATGATTTGAGGGAGCAGATACAACAAAGATGAAAAAAATTTATGACAAACTTAATGGATTTCAGCATAGGTCCCCAAAAGATTCTAAGGCTGCCTTGCTCTGTCGCCCAGGCTGGAGTGCAGTGGCCTGATCTCGGCTCACCGCAATCTCCGCCTCCCAGGTTCAAGTGATTCTCTTGCCTCAGCCTCCCAAGTAGCTGGGATTACAGGCACACGCCACTGCACCTGGCTAATCTTCTGTATTTTTAGTAGAGAATGGCGGTTCACCATGTTGGGCAGGCTGGTCTCGAACCCCTGACCTCAGGTAATCCACCCACGTCAGCCTCCCAAAGTGCCAGGATTACAGGCGTGAGCCACCACGGCCGGCCAGGTTGCCTATTCTTTAAAGCCAATAGTGAATAAAATATTAAAAATTCCTGTCTGGGTGAGGTGGCTCACACCTGTAATCCTCTACAATCTGAAGGTCAATAGCAAAATTAGTTTTTTTCTATATTGGAAGCAATAATATCTCTTTAAAAGAGAGGCTTATAATAAAGAATATCTCAAGGTCTTTTCAGTATTCTAGATGACATGCATAAATTGAAAAATTATGACAAATATGAGCTTCTGCAACCATTAAAAATATACAATTGAAATTGAGAAACATAGGAGGAAGAGTGATACTGATGAAGCATTAGTGTAAGAGGAACTAAAATCCTGAAGTCGCTTTCTAAAATCTAGTTGATATGGCTGGGCTCACACCTGTAATCCCAACACTTTGGGAGGCAGGAGGATCGCTTGAGCTCAGAAGTTCAAAACCAGCCTAGGTAACATGGTGAAACACTGTATCTATACAAAATTTAGCCAGCATGTTGGTACATGCCTGTAGTCCCAGCTACTTGGGAGGCGGAGAGCAGAGGATTGCTTGAGCCCAGGAGGTTGAGGCTGCAGTGAGCCATGATCGTGCCATTGCACTCAAGCCTGGGTGACAGAGCAAGACCCTGTCTCAAAAAATAAATAAATAAGTAGATTAATAAAATCTAATTGCCTCCCATGAAATGCCTCAATTTATTTTCAGTAATAATATACCAGACACATTTTCCTAAAACCATCCTAGCTCTTAGGATACATTAACTTTGGTAGTATCAGCCAGCAGTGGAAAATGTAGATACTTTTAAAACAATTATAAAAAGCTACTTATCAAGAATGTCACAAGAAAGACTATCAATTCTAGTGACCATTTTTATAGAAAATAAGATACTGAGCCGGGTGCAGTGGCTCATGCCTATAATCCCAGCACTTTGGGAAGCCGAGGGGGCGCAGATCACCTGAGGTCAGGAGTTCGAGACCAGCCTGGCCAACATGGTAAAACACCATCTCTACTAAAAATACAAAAATTAGTGGGGCATGGTGGTGCACACCTGTAATCCCAGCTACTCAGGAGGCTGAAGCAGGAGAATCACTTGAACCCGAGAGACGGAGGTTGCAGTGAGCCGAGATTGCGCCACTGCACTCCAGCCTGGGTGACAGAGTGAGACTCCATTTCAAAAAAAAAAAAAAAAAAAACTGGAACAAGCAGGCATTAAAATTGACATAGAAAATGTTGTCCCCATGAAAATTATTTTATGACTAAAACTATCTTATGATGAATTGTTACATCCCAGAGACTTTCAAATCCTGAGTATTGTGACTAAAAACACTAATTTTCTATTATCTTGGATTTAATAATTTTATATATATAATTCATATAGAACCAACTTGTGTTTGTTTCATTGGGGTACCCCTTCCTTATCCCACACAGGTGCTGTAGGGGTCAATAGTAACCCAGCACCTTTTAGTGATTAGTTAAAAAGTGACTGCGGCAAGAGGACAGCTAGCAAAGCATCTGTTCTCTTCCACGCATGTTACCTCGTGCATGTGATTACTGTGTGTGAACCTGCCTGACAGTGGTTGCCTACTCAGGCATGAAAGGCCTGCCATGATCTGAGTCCTGCCCACCTCCCAGCCGTGCTCTCTTACACTTTATGCTGCAGCCAGCCTGGGCTTCTGGCAGTTTCTCGGTGCCCCAGGCTTGTTCTTGCCTGTGCACACTCCGCCCCAACCCTGCCTCCCCCTCCCTCACGGGAGGGCTGCAAGAGGCTCCCACACAGTGCCTGCAATCATAGCATTCCTCACACAGAGCTGTTACCTGTTACCTCACCTGCAGTCTGCCTTCCTCCCTAGACTGTCACTCCTTCAGGGAAGATTCGTGTCTCCTGTCTTTGCACACGGGTGCACTGCCCAGTCTCTGCACCTAACTGATGCTCTGTAATGCTGTTATTGGGAGAAAGACACATGAAGATGGCCAAATTTATCTATGTCTTTAAAGAAGTTCCAACTCTAAAAACCAAATAAATTAAGTTAAAACAATTTGAAACTATTTTTAAAAAATAATTAAAATGCTCAGCCCAGTGAAGTGTTCTGCAGACAGACACTTTCTAGCAAGAAGGCAAATTGTTACCATCTCTCTGAAGGGCAATTTGGTGGTGGGTATCAAAAAGCAATGAAGGCCAGGCACAGTGGCTCACGCCTGTAATCCCAGCACTTTGGGAGGCTGAGGCAGGCAGATCATGAGGTCAGGAGTTTGAGACCAGCCTGGCCAACATGGTGAAACCCCGTCTCTACTACAAATTCAAAAATTAGCTGAGTGTGGTGGTGCACACCTGTAATCCCAGCTACTCAGGAGGCTGAGGCAGGAGAATTGCTTGAACCCGGGAGGTGAAGGTTGAAGTGAGCCCAGATCGCGCCATTATACTCCAGCCTGGGCAACAACAGAGCAAAACTCCGTTTCAAAAAAAAAAAAAAAAAGCAATGAAAATGTCCATACTCCTTAGACTCAGCAACTCCACTTAGAGGAATTAATCCCAATGACATAATTAAGAAAATGTGTGCAAAGATCCAGGGGGTAAAGTAGGGAACTACTGTGTCATTTACACCAGCAGCAATTGAGAAACAACCTTGATACCCAGAAACAATCTTGATACCTCAAGATACCTTGAGGTTGCAGTGAGCCCAGATCGTGCCACTGCACTCCAGCCTGGGCAACAGGGCGAGACTCCGTCTCAAAAAAAAAAAATAGAGATGAGGGCTTCCTATGTTGCCCAGGCTGGCCTCAAACTCCTTGGCTCAAACAATCCTCCCACCTCCGAAAGTGTTGGGATTACAGGTGTGAGCCACTGCACCTGGCCTGTTTTCTAATTTTTCTACAGTGACTATATATTGTGCTAAAACAGAGAAGGATGAGAGGAGAGGAGAGAAAAAATTTTAAAACGAGCAGGCTGCAGAGAGAACTGACCTCCCCTAGCGGTGTCTGCCTCCCAGAGGCTGAAAACCAAAGAGAGGACATGTCTAGGAAGAAAGGAGAGAATGGGAATTAGGAGATCGAGAGGGGGAAGACTGAGTTGAAAACGCTAAGCTCTCCAGTACTGAGAAAACAAGTTTTCAAAAGTGAAGATACTTTTTCAAAACAAGTGTTGAGAGGTGAAAGGAATTGCCAAGGAAGCCTGGGAATAATGGAAGTTGCCTGTGAATGCAGCACCTGGGGAAAAAAAATTCTCCTGACAGTTAAACAACTTCTTTTTACAACCCTTGGAGATTTCTTTTCTTTTCCTTCCTTTTCTTTTTTCTTTTCTTCTTCTTCTTTCTTTTTTTCTATTTACAGAGCATCTCTTCTTCTTGCACCTAACAGAGCTCATAATTTATCTTGCCACTCCGATCTCTTTCTAGTAATGCCTGCTACTTTTAATGTAGGTCAGTGAAGAGGCTTTGCAATGAGCCTGTTTTTGTTTTTTGTTTTTTGTTTTTTGTTTTTTTCTGCAGTGGCTCTATTTTGATACATGATGAGCAAGGGTTAGATTATCTCTACATTTAAAATAGAATCTCCTAGTGGATTCTATTTTAAAGCCCATCTCAGTAAATGTCCCCTTAATCTGTTGCACTCAGCGCCTGAATCTTGCTGGAGTCACTTTATATGTAGCTTATTTTGAAAATCAAAGCCTTGTGCAGAGTAGATGTTAAACACGTGTAAATTGTAAAGTAAAAGGGAGGGTTGTAAAGGAAAGAGAGCAAGTGAAAGCAGATCCTCTCACCCCTCATTCCCTTCTCTGACCTACTTTCCATCACTCCCATCACTCGACAGACATTCCAGCTTGTTTTTCTTTTCTTTTTCTTTTCTTTTTTTTTTTTTTTTGTGCCACTTTGAGGAAGAACTCACTGGACCACCCAGAGGGAGGAGGGCTGTCCACCATCCAGCCGTTTCCCCCAGAAGCCTCCCACCCAGGGCTTGCAGTGCCTTTTGGGGGGCAGTGAAAGTGTGTGCCCTACCAGGAACTATCCTCTCTCCATCCCCCTTCTCCATCCTCTTCCTCATCTTCACTGCCGACCCAGCACACCCTGGACTGCACTGCCACTCTGGATCCCTTAGGATTTCAAGCCCTGAAGCCACATGGGCAAAGCCAAAGGAAAGGGCTTTTGGCTTTCCCTCCACAGAATGGGCACTTGTGTGCTTCAGTGGAGGCAGAACCCTTGCAGCCACTTCAGGAGCAAGTGACACGGCCCAGCAACAATGGCAAGTCAGCAAAGAGTTGGCTCCTCACCACTTCCTGTTTATTCTGCATTAACTGAGTGCCTACTATGTACTCCCTGCTTTGAAAGGCTCTCAGCCTAATCACAAGTTTACGTAAATCTCCCTCAGCAGTTTCTAAAAGTGCCACACTGTTCCCTAGGGTGATAATATGTCCTTACAACCTTGTCAGGATTAAGGTCATTTTTGCCTTGTTTTTTCAGACACACCTCCTGTTTTCAAAGGTCGTGGATTTGGGGATTGGAGGAGGAATAAATAACAAGCTTTAGCAGTTACAGAAAAACATCTCTAGCTTATTCTTCCCATTAAAGCTGCTCAAGGGTAAGTTACCCTCCATTGGTCTTTTCTTATGGATTTTTACAGGAAAAAAAATGTATTTAAAGGTAACATATATGCCTTGACAATCTTCATTGTTGACATATTGAAAGATCTTGGAGAGGTCAGGTGCGGTGGCTCACGCCTGTAATCCCAACACTTTGGGAGGCCAAGGCAGGTGGATCTCGAGGTCAGGAGTTCAAGACCAGCCTGGCCAATATGGTGAAACCCTATCTCTACTAAAAATACAAAAATTAGCTGGCTGTGGTGGCGGGAGCCTGTAATCCCAGCTACTCAGGAGGCTGAGGCTGGAGAATCTCTTGAACCCGGAAGGCGGAGGTTGCAGTGAGCCAAGATCACGCCACTGTACTCCAGCCTGGGCAACAGAGTGAGACTCCGTCTCCCCCTCTGCCACACACACAAAAAAGAAGAAAGATCTGGGAGAGTTTGTCTGTTTTCCAGAAGTAACTCAATCGGACCCTTGTTCATATGAAATGTTTTTCCTCCTTTTATTTACAGCTACACGGTGTTAGGAGTAGTCGGGGGATGCATGGAAAAACAGGCAGGCCCTTGCTGGTAATAGACATGCCTAAGAAATAGGTTCTCAAGGCCTTACTAACAATTCTTTCTGTCCCTTTTCCCTAATGCCACCTTCAAATCCCAGAACCAAATTTCAAAGGGAAGTAGATAAAGGATGTATTCCCTCACCCATGTTTTTTTTTTTTTTTTTTTTTTTTTTTTTTTTTTTTTTTTACACATCAAGTCTCAAAGACTTGAAGTGAATTAATGTATGGCTCGAACAGATAAAAATCACTATTCAGCCCGAAATCCATTTGCAAGATCTAACTACGGGACACTTAAATTTACCCTCCAAGGATTTGGAACAAGAAATGGCAACTCATTTGGAAAATTAATCTTCATAGGCCTTCTTAGCAGCAATCAGCAGGCATTGAATAAAGAAATTTCGGTAAAGCCTGAGTTGGGGGGAGCGGTGGATATGGGGGCTTAACTGCCTTTGGATTAATGAGCACAGCTGGGAAGAGCCCCAGGCTGGACTCTATTCATGCTTTACATCCAGTTTTGAAAAAGGAAGAGGCTGTCAGAGTCTTAAAGAGGGAGCTCCTAAGGGCGTCCCAGCTTTGATGCTGCTCTAATAACATGGCTTTTCAGGGAGGATTAATAAGCAGGCTTATGAAAGGATCTGGCTCTCCTCTCCGATCCGCTAAACAGGTAATGAGGATTTCTAGCTATTAGAGCAATGATACCAGATCGCAACTTCTAAGACATGCACCAGCGTGAAGCCGCTCTGGAAACCGCCTGCTGAGTGGGCAGCCTTCAAAAGCCCTCTAATCCTTGAAAATGAACTTCAGGTCTTCTGCCCACCCACACAACATGGACTCACTTGTCTGGAACTTAATGTTCAGCACATTCAACAGAAATTTTGACATGAAGAAATAATAGGCTCTCAGATTTTTTTTTAAAAAAGATTCTTATTTAGAAAAAAAATCCTCTAATTCCAGGTGTAACCCATTAGGAATTAAGCTATAAGGCCAGCCAAGTGCAGTGGTGAACACCTGTAGTCCCAGCTACTTGAGAGGCTGAAGCAGGAAGCTTGCTTGAACCCAGGAGTTGGAGGCTGCAGTGAGCTATGATCATGCCTATAAATAGCACGACACTTCAGCCTGGGCAACAGTGAGAACTTGTCTCTAAAACAATCAAAAAACGACAAAGGCAGCCTAATTCAATTTCCACTTTCCCCACCTAACAGGCTTAGGATCACAAACTGTAAAAGTTCTCTTTGTTTTATAGAGATGAGAAGCTACTTGTCCTAGGCACTTAGTAAATTAGGGACCATGCCAGCACTAGAATGTACCTAGGTGCTCCAAGACCTGGATGGACTTGTTCCTTGCACAATCTAGAAATCTGTGATAAAGAATAAATAATACAAGGTGTCCTTAATGAGCCCCTTCCATAGGCAGGTATAATAGAACACACAAATGAGTGGGGGGACCCCTGTAGATTCATCTCAAATTATGCAAAATATGAAGCCACATGCTACTGGTGGGGGAAAAACCTGCCTGCCATGTGCTACTGGTGGGGGAAAAACTTGCTCTTTGAGTCAGGTGCACCAGGGTTCAAGCCCTGACCCTGCACATCTTACTAGGTGGATGATTTGGGGTGGGGCAGGTTATCAGAGCTCTTGAGTCTTAGTCTCTTTATCTGAAAAAAGCAGAGAAAACAATGCCTATCTAGCCAAATGAAAATAAATTTAAAGAAGATAACACTTGTAAAGCTGGTAACTTAGATGCTCAATTAAAGTCAATCCCTCTCCTAATTGCTGCTGCCTGAATTTCTTTTTTTTTTCTTTTTCTTTTTTTTTTTTTTTTGAGATGAAGTCTTAGTCAGCCAGGATGGAGTGCAGTGGCTTGATTTTGGCTCACGCAACCTCCACCTCCCAGGTTCCAGCGATTCTCCTGCCTCAGCCTCCTGAGTAGCTGGGACTACAGGCGTGCACAACCACACCTGGCTAATTTTTGTATTTTTAGTAGAGATGAGGTTTCATCATGTTGGCCAAGCTGGTCTTGAACTCCTGACCTCAGGTGATCCACCTGTCTCGGCCTCCCAAAGTGCTGGGATTACAAGCATGAGCCACTGCACCCAGCCTGAATTTCTTTACCTTAGAACAAAGGGTGCAATTATAGGGAAGGCTTAAATGACATGATCAACACATTTGCTAAGGAATATCAGTGATTGGACAAATACAAAATACCCAGGAGATCCTGCTGTGACCAATAAAAGATTCCGAGGGCTTTAGACGCCCAGTAAGAAGGGCATCTCTAGTCTGATTAGAGTTTAAAGGGAGCAAGAAAGGATGGGAGAGGGGAGGCCAGCGCAATATAAACCAGAGATGTTCAGTAGAAACAACACAAGCCACATGTGTAATTTAAAATGTTTTAGTAGCCGCACTTAAGAAGTAAAAACAAGCATGTAACAGTAATCTTAATAGTACATTTTATTTAACCCAATATATCAAAATGCTATTATATGAACTTGTTCTCATTTAAAAATTATTAGTATTTTTTGTTCTTTTTTCCTACTGAGTCTTCAAAATCAGGGTATATTTTACACTTGGAGTACACTTCAATTCAAGTTCTCACCATCCTGGACAGCACAGGTGTAGAAGTGTAGGTAAATCCCCATGTCCATCCACTGTGCTGGGTGTTGGGGGACCAAAAAGTCTAGATTAGAGCATGGGTTTACCCTCAAGGGACTCTGTATCTAGTTAGGGATCTAGAACAGATGGAGAACATTCACCCAGCAATATACATTTGCGTGTAGGTTCCCACACTGCTTATCATAAGATACTTAACCTGCAGCTCAAGCCTTTTCCTATAAGCCTTAGACATACCCCAAGCACAATATTCCTTCCCATTGTCCACACAAGCAGTTGTCAGACGATGTAATCGATTTGGGGGTTTGGGACATATAGCACCCTAGAAAACCATTCAAGGGAAGAGGGGGATGCCTTGCTTTCTAATCCCTTTAGACTACAGAGTGCCCACTTTATATTATGTGAGCCCAAATTCCAGACAAGTAGGAAAGAAACTGAAAGAGAAGTCTCAACCCTGCACAGAATGTTTACCTGTCTCCTGGAGCGGCAGCGGCAGCGGGAGGAGCCATCCATGTTGAAAAGGCAGAGTCTCTCACTGCCAGCTGCACCCACCCTGCCCAGTCTCTTTCCCTTGCCCCTCCCTTGAGAGCCTCTTCATTTCCTCCACTGCCTGGCTCAGCTCACAGGGAGACTCACACCGCCCCAAAATGAAAAGCCAGTGGCTGATGTGGCTTGTAGAGCAATTTTCATGCTGTGCAGGCATGAGCCTCGGCAAAACCAGACATTGAAGTTTGCTTTAGATTCCCTAGCATTTTCTGGAAAGCCCTTTCCCCCTTTCTGCAACCCCATCCCTGTAGACTCATCTCAGATAATGCAAAAACCAAGCTATGTGCTGCTGGTCGGGGAAACAACAAGTTTAAGGAAAAACCAGGTTCTTCCTCAGCTATTTCTGCTGAGACACGAATTCATAGTAAGGAGTTAATACTTTGTGGGCCATCTTTCGCAGGGATATTTGCATTTTTTAAAGACTGAATAATAATTTTAAAAAAGAAGAACTCAAATGTATTGAGTGCTTACTAGCTAGTGGGCACTGTGCTAAGAGGGTGATGCCTCACTCCAGGGAATGACCGGACAATGGTAGGATTTCAAGCAAGGTGGCACAGGCGGAACAGAGGTATCTTCCTGGTGCTTTCAGTAGACAACTCCTATGTGACCCTAACATGAGGAACAGTCTGTGGAGGATATAAAAGAGCTGCACTTTTTTTCCCCCTTAACTTTTACATTTTAGCACCATTTTCTTTGTTTATGGACTGAGGGCAGAGGAATTAAATTTGTTTTCATCCATCCATTCACTCGCTCATTCACTCAACAAACATTTATTGAGTGCCTACTCTGAGCCAGGCATTGGACTAGGTGCTGGGGGTACAGCAATGATCAAGATGGGTGAAGCTCTGCTGTCATGAAACTTACAATACAGTGGGGAAAGACAGGCAATAAGCAAAGAAACAAAACAAGAGAATTACGGACTGTGATCATCCTATAAACCAAATGAACAAGAGCGTGTGATAGAGGCAACTAGGGAGTAGGATGGAGGCTCTTTAGATCCAGGCTGCGTGGGGAAGCCTCCTGGAGGAGGTAATGGGGTTTTTCTGCATCCCCACTGGTGCTCCTTCTTGGCCTCCTTGGCTTCCTCTTCTTCCTTCACCTACCTGCAGTCTTCAGAGCACAGTCCTGGGGCTTCTCCTTCTTCTACAAACTCTCTCTGGGTGCTCTTGGCCAGTTTCATGACTCTAACCACTTTCTATTCACTGATAATCTCCCAAATTAATATCTCCAGCCCTAACAAGCCTATGACCACCAGACCCACACATTCAAGGGTCAAGCTGATATCACCCCTGAAAAGTCTACTGGCATCTCAACTTAATATGCTCAAACAGGCCTCTCGACTCTCTGCTCCCTCCAACCTGTTCCTGCTGCCTCAATCCCTGTACTCCGTAAATTATCTACCTGACGGCGCAAATGAAAAAGCTGAGGAGTCACTATTTTTTCATTGCATTTTAAATTGTTTTTGAATAAGTAATTGTGATGGGCAGAATAATGGCCCCAAAACATGCTCATATCTAATCCCTAGAATCTGTTAATATGTGACTTTACATGGCAAAAAGGACTCTGTAAATGTAATTAAGTTAACAACCTGGAGGTGAGTTATCTTGGATTATCTGGATGGGTTGAATCTAGTCACAGGAGTCTTTAAAAGTGGGTAACCTTTCCCCTCTGTGGTCAGAGGGAGACATGAATTTGGGGGAAGAGTCAGAGACACTCTGCTGACTGTGAAGACAGAGGAAGGGGCCATGAGCCAAGGCCTGCAGGGAGACTCTAGAAGCTAGAAAAGACCAAGAAACAGTCTCCCCTCCAGCCTCCAGAAAGGAATGCAGTTCACCAATCCCTTTCTTTTAGCCCAGTGAGGCCTGTGTCAAACTTCTACGCTACAGAACTGTAAGATAATAAATTGGCACTGTTTTAAGCCACTACATTTGTGATCATTTGTTATAGCAGTAACAGAAAACTAATAAAGCAACACAGTCACACGACTCAAAATTCAGAGAGTACAAAATAGGAGACAACAAGCTTCTTTCTCACCCTGTCCTCACCCACCAACTTTTCCCCAAAAGTACCTAATGCCACCGACTTCTTGGTATATCCTTCCAGAGACATCCTATTCATATATAAGCAAATGGGGCTATGTATACTTTCACCTAGTATGTTATACAAATGATAGCATACTATACATACTGTTCCACATTTTTCGAGTCAACAATACGGTCTACATGTTTTTCTTTGGAGCTTTTTTATTGTTTTAACCTGGCACCATCACATTCCATTGCATAGACGTAATTATTTAGCCATTTCTTATTGTTGGCTATTTCCAAGCTTTTTATCACAAACAATGCCCTATGCAGAAATAACCTTGAACTTGCAGCATTTCACACAGGACTCAGACAGAGACAGATTTATCTCAGACTGAGACAAATCCAGGAGTCATCCCTGATTCTTCCTTTCCTTCATTCCCATCTAATCTGCTAGCCTGTCCAGATGGTTCTATCTCCAAAACAAACTTCAGCCCACCACTTCTTTCCTTGTCCACCATCCCCACTCTATTCTAAGCCACCACTGTCTCTTGCCTGAGCCATTGCAGTGCACACATCTGCGGTTAGGAAGACTCTGAGATTCCTATACTTGTGTCTTGCCCTTTTGAGGAAGAGCCCTCTTGAGGCCTCAGACTTTTTGTTCCTGAAATAGGATCAATGAAACTAAGCATCTAGATTTTTCTGTGAATGAATGAGTGGTGTTTCCCAAGACTTCAGTAATGGGGTTTCATTTGGAGGCTCTCCTAAAAAAGAAGCTTGTTAAACCTGAAAGGAAGATCAGACGAGTGTCTCTGTGTCTTGGAACAGACGTAAATTTAATTGCATCTTTAATATGTGTTTTTCTTCTGTGGGTTTCCAGGGCACTTAATGGGCTGGGAACAAGACAAGAGTTTTTAGGAATGGAGACAAATTCACCTTAAACAAGAACCTGAGATTAAAGGTCTGCCTTTATTCTACCTAGCCACAGCCTAAATCCTTCCCTGATGGCTCTTGAGGAAGTTCCAGGATGGAAACTGATTCAGAAAGTCTGGCAGTCCTGGTACAGGAAATAAAACATTAAAGAAAGGAGCACTGCAGAGGGAGGCCCCTGTGACTATAAATCTAAAAAAGAAAACTCATGGAGACTAACGGAGGGAAGGAATCAGATTTATGGCATATTTGCTATGGTATACTCTCTCTTCTTATAATAAAATGTTAATTATTTATTAAGCTTTTACTGTGTGTCATGCATTTTCACATATGCTTTTATTTAATTTTCTAATAACTAACAACTCCATTTGGCAGATAAGGAAACTATGTATCAAAGAGTATATTTATTTTGTAGCCTTTCAGTAGTTGAGCCCCTAATCACAGAGTAAGAAGTGAGGACAGGTGGAAGCTTCAGCAACTGTCCTGAACAATTAAAATACACATCAGTGTGAATGACCTTCAGAATGTATTTCAGTCTGTTAATATACACAATAATATGTAAACTATACATGGCAGCTGAGAGTTGTGTTTAGGATCACAGATTCTTTTGAGACAGAGTCTTGCTCTGTCGCCCAGGCCGGAGTACAGTGGCACAATCTCAGCTCAATGCAACCTCCGCCTCCCAGGTTCAAGCGACTCTCATGCCTCGGCTTCCTGAGTAGCTGGGGCTACAGGTGCAAGCCACCATGCCTGGTTAATTTTTGTATTTTTAATAGATGGAGTTTTGCCATATTGGCCAGGCTGGTTTTGAACTCCTGAACTCAAGCAATCCACCCGCCTCAGCCTCCCAAAGTGCTGGGATTGCAGGCGTGAGCCACGGTGCCCAGCCAACATTACAGATTTTGTAGAGAGACTTCCTGAGCTTCAGCATGCTTAGTTCCATGATTACCTGCTGTGTGGCCTTGGACAAATTCCTTTCCCTGTCTGGGCCTATTTCCTATTACATTTAAAGCACTTAGAGCAGTGCATGGCATAAAGTGGAATTTAGCCAGGCTACCCGTAATGAGGGCTTACTTGATGTCAAGCACTGGGCTGTGTAATATATAGAAAGCACTCATCCTGAAGATGGTCTCATGGAATCTTCAGACCATTCTGCAAGGAAATCATTCTTTCTTTTCTGTAGTGAAGGAATCTGAAGCTGTGGCACATCCCCAATGTCATGCAATCATCTGTTAAGTTGCAGAGTTGGGAATTCAGACCTTGCTTTGTCTGCTTCCAAAGCCTGGGCTCAGTAACAAGCAAAGCAGATGGTGGTGTTAGTGTGCAGTCCTGCTTTTGCGCAAGCCCGAGGCATAAGCTGCTCTTCCTGCTTACAGGTACAGACACACATACTCTCCCGCCACAAAGACACACAGGCAGTATTCAAGTGAGAAACTTTCCCAGTGCCTGCGCCCTCTGCTGACTGTGCTGTAGCAATGGCTGGTCTGAAAGGCACTTTCCTGGAGTAGAATTGCTGGTGGTTTTGGAAATGACTCCAACAAATTGAATCCTTGACATTGGGAGATACTGAAGACATTGAATCTTTCTTATTTCCAGTTGCATGAAAACAAGAGGCTTTGACAAACCAAAGTATATTAAGACACATGGAAAAAGTAAGCTTTTAGTGCCAGGTGCTCTCTTTTGGCAATAAAAAAATGGTTTGAGCACCTTAAATTTTATTTTTTCAGAATGTGTCGAAGGTGGGGAGTTGGAGAAAGGTACATGTGGGAGTTTTTGCTCCTGTCGGCAATACAATAGTCTCCCTTGCTGAGAGACTCCTTGATGGCAAAATAGAAAATGTTTGAAAAATATGCAGTGAGAAGATATCTCATCATGCAGCTCCTCACCGACACACCCCACCATGCACACACCCATTTGTTCTTACAATAAAAGAAGGCCTCCAATTTTTACCATGCAAGAAATTATTCTCTGTCCCTCTCTTCTTTTCCTCTCTCCCATTCCTCGGTGCCTTTCTCTTCCAGAAAGAAATTTTAGAATGTCAGACCTCAAAGATGACCCAATACAATGCCACAGTTAAGAACACTGACTTCAAAGGCAAACCTGGGTTTGAATCCTGGTTTCAGCACCTTATGCAAGTTACTTAAACCCTCTGTGCCTCAATTACCTCATCTGTAAAATGGGCTTAAAAACAATACCTAGCTGATAGGATTGGTGAGAGATTTGAATGAACTAATGCTTGTAAGTCCCTTAGCTCAGAGCCTAGCACAGAGCTAATGCTTCCAAAGTATTCCTTGATATTGTCACCCAATCAAGCCTCTTCATTTTATAGGCAACAAAACTAGATTCAGAGAGAAGGGATTTATCTGCGATCATATGGCCAGTTAGTGGCAGAGCCAGGACTGGAGCCAGGCATCTCATCTCATCTCATCTCACCTGGTACAGACATCTTTCTACTGTACCACACACAGCATCGTGGATTTTCCCTCATTTCCTAACTTTAAGCAAAAGAGGTTGGGCCATTTCCCAGTTGGCCAGGTTTGTGCTGAACCAGCAATGTGTTGCAAGAGTCAGGCATCCTGGAGTGCATCCTGCGGTGCCGGCTCCCCTGTGAGCAGGAGCCAGCTCATGTCTGACAGTAACAGACTCTGTTCTAGGAGCTATCGAGCCCTGATAAAACTTATCCACAGAGCACTGAGCAACTGTCCTCTTATATTGTTATTATTTTATTTTGAGACATCTGTTGCCCTCTCAGGCTGGAGGGTAGTGGAGCAATCTGGGCTCACTGCAACCTCTGCCTCCCAGGTTCAAGAGATTCTCCCGCTTCAGCCTCCTGAGTAGCTGGGATTACAGGCACGTGCCACCATGCCTGGCTAATATTTGTATTTTTAGTAGAGACAAGGTTTCACTATGTTGGCCAGGCTGGTCTTGAACTCCTGACCTCAAGTGATCAGCCCACCTCAGCCTCCCAAATGTCCTCTTATTATTAATTTACTTTCTGGAAGCTGAAGCTCCAGAAAGAAGTTCACTAGATAGTGACACCACCACCAGCTTTCAAATGTTCTGGGAACAAAGTCTCTACATCCAGCCAGCCTCCAATCCACGTTCTTGAGCGTCTCTTTCTCTCCCCCCACCCCTCTCTCTCTCTCTCCAAAGACCCTCTCCTAATGCAGAGAGACCGGATCATTGACTATACTATGTGTCACTTTCCCCCACATCATACTATTTCACCTCAAATGCTCTTCTCTCTCCCTCTGCTCAAAGGACACACACAGACAACCACACATATGCCTAAGGTCTTTTGTTCTTTGGAAAGTGTTCAAATTGTCCACAGCAATATTTGGTTCTTGCTGGAAAAGGCCAGTAATCTACAGCCAGGGTAGGTTCAGTTCCTGGTGTCTCTGGAGAGGACAGATCCCATTAGCTCTGACAAACATCCCCAGTGTTCCTGCTCTTAACCTTTGTCAAATTTTCCAAAATCCAGCTAGACCCAGGGGCTCCTTGCAGGCAGTCGAGGCTGTGTCTGCTCCACTCAGTAGTCAGGTGGCCCACAGCTGCAAGGACCAGTCAGCTTTTTCTCAAGCCTGGGCCAGGCAAACTCTCTACATTTAGTAAACAGGGGCAAGAGGGATGCAGGGAGAGGTCTAAAAGATGGAAAAGGAGGGAGGGGTTATGGTTAGCCCCCTTTCAACAGTTCAGTGATAATGATGCTATAATTCTGTAGCAGAAAGTTTGCCCGCTTAGAAGTCAGGAGGGCTGAGTCCTAATCCTAGATCAGCCACTAAATGAACCATGTGCTCTTGGGCTGATCACTTTGCCTCTCTGCCTCAGTTTTCTCATTCTGCTATACAAGTGGGTTTGTCTTGAGAGTCTGTAAGAACCCTTCCAGCACTTCTGAAACACTGAAGTTTTTAGTGACAATCTTTAGTTCACATGACATGTTACAGTTTTTCAAGAACTTCCACATGCAAGCATCATTTGGAGCTACTGTGGGTTTGGTTCCAGACTACTGCAATAAAGTGAAAATTGCAATAAAGTCAATCACACAAGTTTTTTGGTTTCAAAATGCATGCAAAAGTTGTGTTTACCCTGTACTGTAGTCTATTAAGTGTGCAATAGCATTATGTCTAAAAACATCTTAATTAAAACATGCTTTATTGCTAAAAATGTTAACAATCATCTGAGCCTTCAGGGAGTCATAACCTTTTTGCTGGCGGAGGTCTTGCCTGGACATTAATGGCTGCTGACTGATCAAGGTGGTAGTTGCTCCAGGTTTGGGGTGGCCATGACAATTTCTTTCTTTCTTTCTTTCTTTTTTTTGAGATGGAGTTTCACTCTTGTTGCCCAGGCTGGAGTGCAGTGGCAGGATCTCGGCTCTCTGCAACCTCCGCCTCCCAGGTTCAATTAATACTCCTGCCTCAGCCTCCTGAGTAGCTGGCATTACAGGCATGCACCACCACACCCAGGTGTTTTGTATTTTTAGTAGAGATGGGGTTTCTCCATGTTGGTCAGGCTGGTCTCAAACTCCCGACCTCAGGTGATCTGCCCGCCTCGGCCTCCCAAAATACTGGGATTACAGGCACGAGCCACAGCGCCCAGTTCTTAAACTAAGAAAACAATGAAGTTTGCCACATAGATTGACTCTTCCTTTCTTGAAGATTTCCCTGTAGCATATGATGCTGTTTGATAGCATTTTACTCACAGTAGAACTTCTTTCAAAACTGGAGTAATCTTCTCAAACCCTACTACTGCTATCAACCAAGTTAATGCAATATTCATAATCTTTTGTTGGCATTTCAACAGTGTTCACAGCATCTTCACCAGGAATACATTCCATCTCAAGAAACCACATCCTTTACTCATCCATAAGAAGCAACTTCTCATCCATCCAAGTTTGATCATGAGGTTGCAGCAATTCAGTCACACCTTCAGGCTCCACTTCTAGTTCTCTTGCTATTCCCACCACATCTACAGTTACTTTCTCCACTGAAGTCTTGAACCCCTTAAAGTTATCCATGAGGATTGGAATCAACTTCTTCCAAACTCCTTTTAATTTTATAGTTTGATCTCCCATGAATCATGAATAATCATAATGGCATCTAGAATGGTAAATCCTTTCCGGAAGATTTCCATTTACTTTGCCCAGATCCATCAGAATCACTATCTATGGTGGCTATAGCTTTACAAAATGCATTTCTTAAATAATGAGACTTGAAAGTCAAAATTATTCCTTGATCCAGGGGCTGCAGAATGAATATTGGGTTAGCAGGCATAAAAACATTTATCTCCTTATAAATCTCCATCAGAGCTCTTTGGCAATGAGTTGCATTGTCAATGAGCAGTAAAATTTTGAAAAGAATTTTTTTTTTTCTGAGCAGTAGGTCTCAACAGCAAGCTTAAAATATCCAGTAAACCATGCTGTAAACCAATGTACTGTCATCCAGGGCTATGTTGTTCCACTGATACAGCACAAACAAACTCTATTTAGCATAGTTTTTTAGGGCCCTAGGATTTTCAGAATGGGCAAATGAGCATTGGCTTCAACTTAAAGTCACCAGCTGCATTATCCCCTAACAAAAGATTCAGCCTGTTCTTTGAAGATTTGAATCCAGGCATTGACTTCTCTCTAGTATGAAAGTCCTAGATGGTATCTTCTTCCAGTATGAGGCTATTTTGTCTATACTAAAAATCTGTTGTTCATTGTAGCCACCTTCATCAATGATCTTAGCTAGATCTTCTGGATAACTTGCTGCAGCTTCTGCTTTGGGACTTTCTGCTTCACCTTGCAGAAATCTCCATAGGCTTCACGTTTTCTTCTGCAGCTTCCTCACCTCTCTCTGCCTTCATAGAACTGAAGAGTGTTAGGGCCTTGCTCTGGATTTGGCTTTGACTTAAGGGAGTGTTGTCACTGCTTTGATCTTCTATCCAGACCAATAACACTTTCTCCATATCAGCAAGAAAACTATTTTGCTTTCTTATCATTTGTGTGTTCCCTGTAATATCACCTTCAATTTCCCTTAAGAACTTTTTCTTTGCATTCATGACTTGGGTAACTGTTTGGTGTAAGAGGTCTAGCTTTCAGCCCTTCTTGGCTTTCAACATGGCTTCCTCACTAGGCTTAATAATTTCTAGCTTTGAATTTAAAATGAGGAACATGCAAATCTTCCTCTCACTTAAACACTTAGAGGTCACTGTAGAATTATTAATTGGCCTAATTTCAATATTGTTGTGTCTCAGGCAACAGGAAGGCCCGAGGGGGAGAGAAAGAGAGGGAGAGAGAGAGATGGGGGAATGACCAGTTAGTAGAGCAATGGAGCAATCAGAACACACAATTACACTTATTAAATTCTCTGTCTTACACGGGTGCAGTTTGTGGTACCCCAAAACAATTACAACAGTAACATCAAAGATCACTGAGTACAGATCACCAAAACAGATAAAATAATCATGAAAAACTTTGAAATATTGCAAGAATTACCAAAATGTGGCACAGAGACACAAAATGAACACACAGTATTGGAAAAATGGTGCTGATAGACTTGCTTGACACAGGTTTGCCACAAACCTTCAATTAAAAAAAAAAAGCAGTATCTGCAAAGTGCAGTAAAGCAGAGTGCAGTACAACAAGTATATCTGTACCTTATTTTGTTTGTTTAATCCTCCTTAAAAACCCATTGATGTAGGTAAGGTATTTGGCAGATGACAAAACTAAGGTATGTGGTGAATAAGCAGTTACGGGCAAAACATGGCAGAGTTTACTGCCAAAATGAATGATCTCCACTTCTAGCCACTTCTGACTCAAGCTGCCCTTCTAGGTTTAGACCACTCTCCCCAGTGAAAGATCAACAAGACGGGCTCCTGGGAAATGCCAAAGAGGCTTTGTTGCCTTGGGTTCAGGGGTCAAAGGTCTAGGCTGTTCCTTAAGTCTTTTTGATGTCTTTTTTTAACATTTTTGGACCCAAGGGTGGGTTTGGCTTAGCTCCATACTCCACGTTTGCTTGCCATTTGAACTTCAGAGATGAAAGGCAGATCCCATAGCACTTAAGAGATTTTCCAGAACACTAGCTGGTCAGGGCAGAGCTAAACCTAAACGCAGGCCATCTACTTCCTACTGCTGAGCTAGTGCCCTCTGGAAGCATTGGCATATGGTGGTGGCCTCTGCTGCCCTGGCTAACTTGAGTCAGGGTCAGGGTCTTCCTACCTGTAACCCCTTCATCCCCACCCCAGGCACTGAAGCCCCACCATCTGTTTATGAGGCGGGTGGCCACAGAGATAGGCTGATGGTGAGGGGGTTTCACACACTGCGGTAACTAAGGCCTGAGCCCCACCCACTCTCCACCCCTGCGCTTAGTCCCACTTGACAGATAGAAGATCCTATTGTCCCTGAGCACTGTTAAGGGCTGAACTTTGTCCTCCAAAATCCATGTTGATGTCCTAACACCTAGTACCTCAGAACGTGACTGTATTTGGAGATAGGGTCTTTAAAGAGGTATTAAGGGTAAACGCAGTCATTAGGGTGGGCCCTACTCCAATATGACTAGCGTCCTTATAAGAAGAGGAAATGTGGATGTGGACACAGCCACACGCTGAGGGAAGACCCATGTGAAGACACAGAGAGAAGGCAGCCATCTGCAAGCCAAGGAGAGAGGCCTCCGAAGCAACCAAGTCTGCCAACACCTTGATCTTGGACTTCCAGCCTCCAGAATAGTGAGAAAATAAATTTCTGTTGTTTAAGCCCCCTGTACTTTGTCATGGCCGCTTTAGTAGACTCATGCGGGCACTTGCTGTAGACGCTGACCCCCTTGACCCTCCCTCGCTGCCCCTGCATTCTCCTCCACACACCCCTGAGCCCCAGCCCCAGATTCATCAAGTCCTTAGAGTCAGGAGAGTGGGCTCCATAAATCTGCAGCTACATTTTCCCATTTCAGGGCCTTTGAGGAGTGCTGGTTTGTGCTTCAAAGTGGGCCAGGGAAGGATAAACTGCCTTTGGAGCATTTGAGAGATTGAGGAGAGAACAGGAATCACCCAGAAAACAGACTGACGAATATTTTGAGTTAGAATCCTGCCACCCATGACAAGTCAGCTCCCACCCCTCCAGAGTCTCCAGCTAGAGCACTTGCAGTAAGAGTTCAGTGGGCCTTTCCAGGCAGCCAGGCATGTGCTGCCCTCCGGATTCATTAACAGGGTTTCTTGGGGTCAGAGGAGGTGCCAAAGCCCTGAGAGAAGCCAAGCCCCAGAGGACTCCCAAGTTCTCCCCGCAGACTCATATTCCTCTTGTAGGTGGGAAAGGGACGGAGAGGTGCAGGGGGAACGCCCTGTTCCACATGCCGTATTTACTCTGGGCATGGCTAATGACTCCAGGGCCTTATCATTCGGCCCTCAGACTGGGCTGGGCAGGTCTGAGAGTTAGGGAAAGTCCGTTCCCACTGCCCTCGGGGAGAGAAGAAAGGAGGGGGCAAGGGAGAAGCTGCTGGTCGGACTCACAATGAAAACGCTCCTTCTTTTGCTGCTGGTGCTCCTGGAGCTGGGAGAGGCCCAAGGATCCCTTCACAGGTGAGAAGACGTCCCCGCACTGTGTTCAGCTGGGTAGTCCCATGCCCTGCAACTCAGGGCTGCTCTGGGGTAGGAAAGCTGATGGGGAGGTGAAGAGGAGGAGAAGCTGAGGGCTTGCGTCAATGCATGGAAGAGACTCATCCAGTGACCGCCTGTGTATGGCCTTAATCTCCAGTCCTCAACAAGTCATCCTCCTGCCTCCACCTCCACGGAGGTGCCTTCCCAAGTCCCAGGGGTCTTCTTGTGTTGCAAAAGAGCAGGAACCTGCAGTTGTGGTTTGTAGCTCAAAGCGCCCCAGGACTTCCCCAGGGGACTGACCATCACTGTCCCCAAGAGTTTTTCTGTCCCTTTAAATCAGCCCTTCGTGATGTTCATGTAAAACTGTAGACCGCCCCACATCTCCCATTTTCCTAGATCTCAAAGACCTCAGCTCCAGGAGGGGAGCCATTTCCACTCTAAGATTCTAAGACTCTATAGGGCAGAGATGAGGCCGGGCAGGCTGAGTGGCAGAGAGGACGCTGATCCCACCTGTATCCTGCGTGCTGTCTTGCAGATCCCCCCCTCCCACCCCATCTTCTCTAGTTGGCCCCTGAGAAAATGGGACGAGAATGGGGGGAAGAGGGAGGCAGAAGTACATCTCCTGCTTACATGGGGGTTTGTCTCCAGGGTGCCCCTCAGGAGGCATCCGTCCCTCAAGAAGAAGCTGCGGGCACGGAGCCAGCTCTCTGAGTTCTGGAAATCCCATAATTTGGACATGATCCAGTTCACCGAGTCCTGCTCAATGGACCAGAGTGCCAAGGAACCCCTCATCAACTACTTGGATGTGAGGCCTCCTGGGGTCAGGGCTGGGGAGAGGTGGGAGCGGGAGGAAGGCCCAGCATTAGGGCATGGCCAGTGCCACATCAGTAGCACCGAAGGCCATTGTGGATTTCTTCACTTGGATGATGATCCATGGGGACTGATTCCCTGGGTCCCCATGGAGTTGGCTAAGCAGGCCCCCATGTACCCAAATGTCAGAGTTCTCTGCAGAAGGAAAGGGCTGGGAGTGAAAGCATCATCCCACACTGAAGGCCCCTGCTTCTGCTCTCAGCTGGGCAGCTTACTGGCTGTGTACCCTTAGGCAAGTTACTTAACCTCTCCCAGCCCCAGTTCCCTGGTCTGTAAAACAGATGGTTCTTCCTCCACTGCCTCTCCTACAATGTATTTATAAGAATCAGGTTAGTGCAAGTAAAATCAAATGAAGTAGCCAGAGGCTTGGTTTGATTTCCTCCTTCATGGCCATTTCTCTGCTCCTTTTACCTTTTATTTTCCAGCGTTGCCACTTCCTAGGCTCTGTAAACTCCAGTCTGTATTACCCCAGGCTCTGGCCCCTGGGAGCTTTCCCCTGGCTTCCTGGTGAGCACCCTTGTCCCTCCCCACCACCCACACCCTCTTTCCTTCTCACTCTTCCTTGCAGATGGAATACTTCGGCACTATCTCCATTGGCTCCCCACCACAGAACTTCACTGTCATCTTCGACACTGGCTCCTCCAACCTCTGGGTCCCCTCTGTGTACTGCACTAGCCCAGCCTGCAGTAAGTGGGGCCAGGAGCACCAGCAGAGAATGTCTGGGGGCTAGTCCTGGGAGGCCAAGCCTGGTACTCTGGGGAAGGGGGGCTTAGGTTCCAGAAACTGGCCATCCCTGCCACACCAGCTTCCACTCTCCATCTTTGAGTCAGCCGTGGAACTGCTTATAGCAGAGATAGAGCAAAGCCAAGGAAGAACTAAAATGTGGCTGCTGTCCAAGAGAGTAACTTTCATACTGATCAGAATTAATAGAAAGAAAGCCATTGAAAAGAGAAATCTTTGACATAATGACTCACTTCCTTTGGAACACCCAAAGGAATGTAGGGGAAGTTTAATTTAATTGGTTATTTCTGAGCAGGGAGGTGAGTCGGGTTCTAGTGTAGATAGTCTGCTTGTTTCAAGGAGGCTTGGTAGCCTTATCTCCTGGTGCACACAGGTGGGGCTGGTGGGGCACAATGGCATGGGTGGGTCCATTTGTCCAGAGGTAACTCAGAAGTTTCAGTGAGGATTGGAAAAGAAGAGCTACAGAAAGATGTCTTGTTCGATACAGGACAAGTCCCAGAGACAGAATGTCTCTGGAAACCCCAAGGCTAGAGATGTCCATCGGTTGGGAGAAAAGTTGGGAGTAATTTCCTGGGGCAATTGTTTATCCCTGAGTTTCTTTTGAAGCCAACCTCTGACCCACAATGGGTGGCAGGGACTGTGGCTGGCGCCTGATAAATGACACTTATCTTGGTGTGCCTCATGAGGTCATTGTGGACAATCAGGTTTGCTCAGGGATAGCTATTTGGTCCCCAGTTAGGCCACATCTGTAGCTAGAGGGAAATGTAGTTGTTCATTAGGGAGGGGCATCACCAGGCTTCTAGGGGCCCCCACTCAGTGTTGAGAGCTGAGGGAAGAGACCCTGCCGCTGTGGGGCTGGGTGGCATTAGGGCAGGGATGCAGCCAGTGAGCCGATGGCATAAGCAAGAGCAGTGCACTTCTTTCCAGAGACGCACAGCAGGTTCCAGCCTTCCCAGTCCAGCACATACAGCCAGCCAGGTCAATCTTTCTCCATTCAGTATGGAACCGGGAGCTTGTCCGGGATCATTGGAGCCGACCAAGTCTCTGTGAGTGCAAGTCCTTCATTTTTTCTCTCTTGGACAGAAACTTGGGAGACTTATTCAGAGGTCTTACATTTCAAATCTGCCTCAGGAATGGGTGGAAACAGGGGTTAGCACTAACTTCTAGGAGAAAGGGCAAGCAACACTCCCCACCTGAGATGGTGGCAGTGGGTCAGTCTCCACAGCACGCTGGGCCCTGGGGGAGAGCAGCACAGGGGGACTCTGGCAGGAAGCAGTGCCCAGTGCACAAAGCCTGGTGGCAGGGTGCACAGCTGGATCTCCAGTCTCTAGGGCATTGAGGAGATAAAACCACGTCTCCGTCTTGAAGGATAAAGAAGTCCACACCAGGGGGAGAGATTTGGACTCAGTAACATAAGGGGGCAAGGTCTGAAATGGGAGTCCAATCACAGAGGCAAGGCAGAAGCCCAGTTGTCCAAAGGCCAAGGTCCAAACTGAACTCAGTGCTGAGCTCATGAGCTGTTCCTCAAACTCCCTCTGACCTCTGACCCTCTGACTCCCTCTGAAGTCCTATGGGTCCTAGAACTATGGGAATCAGACAAATGTGGGGACAGAGAGCCAGGTACTTTTTCAGGCTTATAGACAGCAATATATGCCTGGGCCTTGGGAGAAAGAGAGGTTGACCTACTCCTGGTGAACGTTGGTCCCTGGGGTATTCCCGAGGCCAGCAGGGCACAGCCTTCATCAACATCCCTTAGAGTGGGTGGAGTAGGACATATTATCAACTGAAAGAATGCCAGAAGCAGAAAAACACCATCTATGTAAAAATATCATACAGATAAAACAATGTACTGTATTTTCTATTGGAACTATGTATGCGTGTGTATACACACATTACATATATAATATATAATATATAATATCCATATATGAATATATGTAATATACAGTATATTTGTATATATAATATATATCCATCTGTATATATTATATAGATACAATATGTAACATATTAAAGTATATAATAATTGCATAATTATATCATATAATACATGTTATATATTATATAATTAATATAATATGTAATACATTACATTAATATATGTTATATAATATATAATATATTATAGAATATAATTGATATAATGTATTATATTAATAATATAGTATGTGTTATATAATATATTAATATGTTGTATGTAATAATATATTACATAATATATTATGTTAATCTATTATATAATAGATTAACCTATTATATAATAGATTAACATAATATATTACATAATATGTTAATCTATTATATAATAGATTAACACAATATATATGTAATGTGTATATATTATGTTATATATAAGATTCTATATATATTATGACATATACATATATATTATATATCTAATTACATATAATATATATATAAAAGTTAAAATGACTATTTTGAAGGCTACATCCCTAACTGATCATCACAGTAACCTCTGAGATGCAGGGAAGGGACTGAAATTAGCATAGAAAGGGGAATTCAAGCCTATAGCTTGTCACGTATCTGTTGGCTCACCTGGCTGGTGTAGGGCAGCAGCCAAGCCCACAGCAATGTCAGCTGCATTGCTCCTTCCCTCAGTTTTTCTGGCTCCAGGACCAGGTGTGCACTTACCTCTAACAAATCATCAGCTTTTGCTGCATAACATCCCCATCATTGAGGCTGGAGACTTGGGGACAGTGAGAGAACAATGTGGGTTCCAGTCCACCCTCACCCTCATGGGTTCCAACTGGCCCTTTTTCTCCCACTTGACATCTATCTTCCCTTTCTGCTGTGCAAACTGTAGACTGCTGCTGCAGCATCAGGACAGAAACAGTATCCTAAAGTACACTGTTTAACTAGCACCCACAGTTGCATATAATCAATATCTATATCCACATCATTATAGCTATATCTATAATCTATAGTACCTCCTAATGGTTCTGCTTCTCTTATCAAACCCTGACTGACATAATAAAGATATGACATGTGAAAATTTGTAGATGAAGCTGATGCAGCCCTTAAAGGGACCATTTAGCCTAAAATGCATGCGTTGTTAATAGAAATGCTAATGATCAATTATCTAAGCTCCTATTTCAAGAAATGAATAACAAGAAAATGAGCAAACCGTAAACAAACAATAGCAAATCAAACCCAAAGAAATCAAAAGGAAGGAAATAATAAAGAGTAGAATGGGACACAAATGAAATAGAGAAATCACACAGTACAGAAAATTAACAAAGCCAAGAATGAACTCTTTGCAAAGAGTAATAAAATTGGTTAGCCTCTCACATGACTAAATAAGAAAAAAGAAAGAAAATACAACTTAACAATGTTAGAAATGAGAAAGAGAACATTAGTAAAGTTATCAAGAATAATTTTATATTGATAAATTTTACAATTTTCAGAAAATCAACAAATGCCTTGAGAAATACAGCATACCAAAACTGATGCAAAAACAAAAAATAGAAAATGTGAATCTTTTAAAGATATACTCTGTTATTAAAAAATCTTTCCACAAAGAAAACTCCACGAAGAAAAGCCTCACTGATAAATTCTCTCAACACTAAAAAAAATCAGTCTTTCACAAACTCTTCCAGATATTTGACAAAGTAAAAACACTTTATAACTCATTTTATGAAACCAGCATAACTTTAATAATGAAACTTGAAAAGGACATTATAACAAAAGAAAATATAAAATTACAGACCAATCTCTTCTCTCATGAATATAGATGCAAAAGTTCTAAATGAAATACTAGCAAATAAAATCTTTTGGTATATAAAAAGATCATACCAAGGGTCATCTTTCCAGGAATTTATCATTTAACAGAATAAAAGGAGAAAAATCATATGACCAATATGATTATATTAGTAGGTTAATAACATTCAATATCTATTCATGACTTCAAGAAAAACTCTTAGCAAACTAGGAGTAGAAAGTAACTCCCTTAATCTGATAAAAATGAAGGACTTCATCTAAAAGAAGCCCACAGCAAACTTTATACTTAATGGTGAATTGTCGAGAGACTTCTCCATAAGATCAAGAATGAGACAAGGACACTCAATCTCACCACTTCTATTCAACATTGTACTGAAAATCCTAGCCAGTGCAACAAGGCAAGAAAAAAGAAATAAAGAACATTAAGATGGAAAAGGAAGAAATAACTCTGTCAATATTAATGTATGACAAGATTCCATAAGTAGAAAATCCAAAAATATCTACAGAAAGGATATTGGGATTAATATGTGAACTTAGCGAAGTTGCTGGATATGAGGTCAACATAAAAAAAATCATCTGGGGCCAGGCACAGTGGCTCACGCCTGTAATCCCAGCACTTTGGGAGGCCGAGGCAGGTGGATCATGAGGTCAGGAGTTTGAGACCAGCCTGACCAACATTTCTCTACTAAAAATACAAAAATTAGCCAGGCGTGGTGGCACACGCCTGTAGTCCCAGCTACTCAGGAGGCTGAGGCAGAAGAACTGCTTGAACCCAGGAGGTGGAGGTTGCAGTGAGCCAAGATCATGCCATGGCACTCCAGCCTGAGTGACAGAGTGAGACTCTGTCTCAAAAAAAATCATTTGGATTTATATATACAGGTTATGGATCCTTATCCCAAATGCTTGGGACCGGAAGCCTTTTAGATTTCAAATTTTTTCAGATTTTGAAATATTTGCATTATACTTACCAGTTTAGTATCCCAAATCTGAAAATCCATAATCTGTAATGCTCCAATGAGCATTTTCTTTGAGCCTCATGTTGGCACTCAAAAAGTTTTGGATTTTGAAGCACTTCAGTTTCAGATTTTCAGATTTGTGATGCTCAACCTGTAGCAAGTAAAACAAATGGCAAATAGATTTTTAATGACACTATTTATAATACTATCAAAACCATCAGCTACTTTGATGTAAATTTAACAAAAAATGTGCGAGAACTCTACTCTGATAATAGCAAACATTACTAAATAAAAGTAAAAGACTTGCATAAAAATCACAAACATTAATGAATAAAATTAAAAGAAGACCTGTATTGAAAACTAAACCATGCTCATAGATTGAATGACTCTGTTTCATTAAAAAGTCAAATTTTTTCAAATTGGTCTATACAACCAATTTTATTCCAATCAAAACAACAGCATTTTTTCTTAGACATTAGCAAACTGATTCTAACATTTATATGGATATGTAATACACCAATACAATCTTGCTGAAGAAAAACACTGGTAAATATTAAGATTTATTATAAAGTTACAGTAATGTAGACGTGTGGTGTTGGCACAGAATTTAAAAAATAAACAAATGTAACAGAACAGAAAATACAAAACTATCAACACAGTCATCTGACTTGCGTTGAACAAGATACTGCAGTATGTGGAGGAAATGATGGTATATTTATTAAATAGTGCCAGGTCATATGAATATCCAGATAGAAAAAAATAAATCTTAATTCCTACCTTACACATTATCACATTTCATATAGGTTCCAGATCGCAATGTGAAAAGTAAACAATAAAGCTTTTAGAAGAAAACATGAGAAAATGTTTTCATGACCTTAAGGTAGGCAAAATTTTCTGAAACAAGTTACAAAAAAACAGTGTACAATAAGCACATGATGAGTGACAGAAGCCAGATACCAAAGAGTTCATATGGGATGATTCCATTTATATAAAATCCAAAAAATAGGCAAAACCAATATATGTTATTAGAAGTCAGGAGACTGGCTCTTCTTGAGGAGGGGCGCAATGATTGGCAGGTGCATGAGGGCTTCTGAGGTTTGGAATGTCCTGTTTTTTGGGAATATAGCAAGCATCTTTGTGCTCATTTAGTCAAGGAAAGTTGGGAAGGAGAGGCATTAGCTTCAAGACAGAGGAAAATCCAGGAGTCAAACCCTTTGCCAGCAATCCCCTGTGCCATTCTCCTGTTCTCCTGTGGGCTTTCTCCTACCAGGTGGAAGGACTAACCGTGGTTGGCCAGCAGTTTGGAGAAAGTGTCACAGAGCCAGGCCAGACCTTTGTGGATGCAGAGTTTGATGGAATTCTGGGCCTGGGATACCCCTCCTTGGCTGTGGGAGGAGTGACTCCAGTATTTGACAACATGATGGCTCAGAACCTGGTGGACTTGCCGATGTTTTCTGTCTACATGAGCAGGTAAGGCCCATCAAGTCTGTGAGGTTAAAGTCAGTTATAACTACAGGGAGACAACACATACACTTGACTTAGCAGTCAAAAGACCTGGTTTAGGTAGCTTGGTCCATTACCAGCTGTGTGATCTTAGTCAAAACATTTAACCTCTCTGAATATTGAGGAAATGGGATTTGCTTCATCAAGTAGCTGTAAAAACACTTTGTAAACTCTACCACACTGGCTTAAATTTAAGGAATCTCTGGGATTGGTTCTTCATTGATGCTGTCACTAAATATCAAGCTCCTATTATATGCTGATTATGATGCTCACACTGGGGACCCAGTGAAACAAGAAAGACAGTACCTGCAGGAGGAGGAGGCAGAAAAAAATGAAAAGCTGACAATAAAATAATTGCATGCTGATGGATGAATAAACAAAATGTGGCATATCCAAATAATCAAATATTATTCAGCCTTAAAAAGGAAGAAAATTCTGAGACATGCTACAACATAGAAGAAACTTGAGGACATAATGCTAAGTGAAATAAGCTAGTCACAAAAAGACAAATACTGTATGATTCCACTTAGGTGAGGTACCTAGACTAGTCAAATTCATAGGCAGAAAGTAGACTGCCAGTTGCCAGAGCCTGGGGAGGGGAAGTGAGGAATTCTTAAACCGTTGTTGATGGCCTAATGGGTATAAAGTTCCAGTTCTGTAAAATGAAAGGTCTGGATTTTACAACAGTGTGAACATACTTAACACTACTGAATTGTAGACTCAAAAATGGGTAAGATAGTACATTTTATGTGACATATTTTTACAACAATTTTTAAAATTGCACATTGTTTTTGGAAAAGGTCATGAGGCTCACCTGTTTCTAGGCACTCTTGCCCGGCATCCTTGGAGGGTCATCTCCTCTTCCTCCTTACACAGGAAGGTGATTTCTGACCTTGCTGACTTTTTCCAGCTCAGACCTGGCCTGCGTTCACACTGTTTCAGCATAAGCCCATTCCTCTCATTCCCCTCTCCCACATGGAGGGTCCTGGATTTTCCCTATCAAGCTATGTTTCCTCTCCAGCATGACAGCACTCAGGACCAGGCCTAGGAAGAGCTGTGAGTAAGAGAGGCAAGTTGTCTAGACACCTCTGCTTCCCCTTGCAGAACTTCCTTCTCCCGTCGCCTGGGAAAAGTGGGCTGTAATGGAGAATATCAAGGCTTGGCAGTCAGACTGGCCTGGATTTGAATCCTGCCACTTACATTGCTTCATCTCACTGAGGCTCAGTTTCTTCCACGGACCACTAGGTTGATGTGAGTTAAATAAGTTTAGACAGATAAAATCCCCACTACACGGCCTTGCACCAAGGTAATCAACAAATGTGAGTTCCTTTCCCCACTCCCTCTGTAAAACCACTGTCCTAAAATTCCTACAGGTATTCACTCCTCTCCCTCTTTACCACCCTGATTTCAGTTTTGTATCTTTCTGATCCTTTTCCTCCTCAAAATGAATCTGTCTTAGGTCCTATTTCTCCAGAGTCCTGCTAGGTTCCAGAACATAATCTGAGAAATCAATACCAATGAAAATAAGTTTTCAGGCTCTAGTAAGTCATGATACATTCATATTAGCCTCTTTGCCTTAACATAAGGAGTGAATAACACAAAAACGCCAGGCACTGTCACAACCATAGTGGGGAAGATACTTTGGGAAAAGGTGTCTTTGGGGGTTGCTTCAAGCCACACAGTGTATACCCACCCAGGATGGTCCTGGCCTTGGTTCTGAATGACAGACCTGCTGGCCCCATTTCCCACCTCCTTAACCTTTTTATCCAAGAAGCAGAAACACATTCACAAATGGTCAAGGGGAGTTGTTTCTAACCTTGTGTCAAAAAGGCCCAGACCAATTCACTTGCAGTAGTCAGAGTCCCGGTCTCAAAGCCCAGACTGATGTTTCTGCCTACCTGTGTGCTTGGCATGAGACCAAGAAGCAAAGGGTCCTAGCTGAGGCTCACCCCTAGAGTTTTGCAGTGGCCCTTCCTGGACAGTTTGTCTTTCTCTCCATGTAGTAACCCAGAAGGTGGTGCGGGGAGCGAGCTGATTTTTGGAGGCTACGACCACTCCCATTTCTCTGGGAGCCTGAATTGGGTCCCAGTCACCAAGCAAGCTTACTGGCAGATTGCACTGGATAAGTGAGTATTCCCCATGAAGTAGTGACAGTACTAGGGGTAAACTGAAAAGAGGCACAACTCAAACCGATTTAACTGAAAAACCACTGGTCACTAGCAGAGGATGCCAGAAGCTTACTGTGGTTGGAGGTATGGAGGTGCTGAGCAAGTGTGCAGGAAGGGACCTCTGTAACCAGGGCAGCAGACACAGCTTCCTTCCTTGTACACATGGCGTGCTTTTAACTCAACATACAGTCAATACCAGTGCACAGCCTGCTCCCCTTTGTTCTTTTAACATTAACACACAAGGCAAGGGATGAGTAACATGGGGGGTTGCACAGGTGAATTGGGCTCAGATCTTGTCCTCAAAAAACTTGTACAGAAGATGAGATGCACCCAAACCACTATCCTGTAAAATGGAAGGTGGTCAGTGCTCCAAGAGAGGTGCCACCAATGTGGTCCAGCAGACAGGCATGACCGCTTCTATCTGAATGCTCCAGTGCATCATGGAGGGGGTTACATTGAAACTGAGCCAGGAAATATATACAATATCTGGGCACGAAGCAATTGGGGAAGTGGGACTACATGCCTGCCTCATACCTAGCGCCGTGCTAGACAATGCAGGAATTGGAAAAGTGTAGTTCAAGTTTCAATTCAGCTAGGATTGAGTTCCTGCAAGGTACCAGGCATTAGGAATGCAAAAAATAAAAGGCCTCAATGCTCACTGTCTATTCAGAGTTTTTCAAACTGTAGGAATTCACCTATTTATGGGTCATGACATCATTTTAGAAGATCCTGACCTGACCAGGTGTGGTGGCTCACACCTGTAATCCCAGGACTTTGGGAGGCCGAGGCAGGTGGATCACAAGGTCAAGAGATTGAGACACCTACATTTTTTAGACGAATTGGAATACAGTAGAAAATACCAGAGTGCACTTCAATTGCATGAATGTGTGTGTGTGTGCACTGGGTCAAGAAGTAAACAGATTTCTTCCTATGGATCTCAGTAGAAAACAATTGAGGAACACTCATATGGTGGGTGGAAATCATTGATGTGCTCCAGGCATTTGAGAGGCCAAAAAAGAGTGGGAGTTTCCTAGGAGCCGGGGGAGGGAAGGTGGGCCGACCACAACCCTGTCCCCTCAGCATCCAGGTGGGAGGCACTGTTATGTTCTGCTCCGAGGGCTGCCAGGCCATTGTGGACACAGGGACTTCCCTCATCACTGGCCCTTCCGACAAGATTAAGCAGCTGCAAAACGCCATTGGGGCAGCCCCCGTGGATGGAGAAGTGAGTGCCTGCCTGCGCAAGGGAGTGGTGGGGACAGGAGAGCCAGGCCTTCTCTTGGGAGGTGGCAAGGCTCTAAACGGATCCTCCGTATTGGGTTTTAGTATGCTGTGGAGTGTGCCAACCTTAACGTCATGCCGGATGTCACCTTCACCATTAACGGAGTCCCCTATACCCTCAGCCCAACTGCCTACACCCTACTGGTAAGAACTGTTTCCTTATTCTGCAGGCCACAGGGCCCTCCCCACATGCCTGCCACTTCCCCTTTTCAATCGCCTGCACTTTGCCCGCCTTTACCCTAAGCCCCGCCCCACGTTGTTCTGCTCTCATGTGGCATTCCCTCTGGGAGGGACACAGCTGCCTGTGGTGGAAAGACCACGGGGCTTGCTCTAATTTCCAGTTCTGCCATGAAGCAGTAGTGAACTTCAGGCAAGCCATTTAAGGAAGTCTTCTGATATTGCCATGTAGGGCTTTTCCACTGACAAAGTTTAATCTCCTCAACCACCAGGTCAGACTGGAGCTATTACTATCTCATTTTATAGGTGAGAATATCAAGACTCAGAGAGTCAAATAAATGGTTCAAGATATGAGCTGTTTGCAGGGAGGAGTGGAGAATAAGATTATATTTGTTCTAACTTCAAATTAACATTCCTCCTCTAGCAAGAAAATGTCTTTTGTTGCAGTAAATTCTCAAGTTTGTAGGGTGAAGTAGAAAGGGAACTCCCAGACCTTTTGGACACCTATGAGCACCTCACACCACAGTTGGTCTGAATTTTCAGCATTCTAGGTATTCGGCACCACACTTCAACACACTAATTTTTCCAAGAGTCACTCACAGCATCAGGGTGACTGCATCAGAAGAGGGGTGCTAAGGTATAGACTGAGGGCTTCAGCCCTACCCCTAAGCCTCTATTAACTCCTTCCCAAAGCCACCAACAGACAATCCAAATAAAAACAAATGTTTGCTTTAAAACACAGCTTCATGGTAAGTCCCCTAAGCTCCTGCCACATAGGGATTATGGAGCTGCCACTCTGAACACCACACTGAGGACCAGTGAGACATTTAGACTGAGCCCTGTTCATCAGTCCACATGCCCATCAACACCCCAGCACACCCACACTCTCACCTTCCCCCACGTGAGTTGAGTCCCTGCCCAGGTGGAAATCACTGATGTGCTCCAGGCGCTGGAGAGCCCAAAAAAGAGTGGGAGTTTCCTAGAAGCCAGGGGAGGGGAGGTGCGTGGTTCTTTCCCGGTATGGTGAGTGGTTCTTTTAGAAGATCATTTTAGAAGATCATGACCTGACCGGGCATGGTGACTCACACCTGTAATCCCAGGACTTTGGGAGGCCGAGGCGGGTGGATCACAAGGTCTTGTGCTGGTTCTTTCGCAGTACAGTGAGTGGTTCTTTCCCACCAGCAGATTTCAATCAGAGCCACCTTGATCCATCAAAACTGCTGTAAAAATTTTGACTTTTCACGTCCTTCCTCTCAAGAAGTCTCCCTGAGCCCTCTGCAAATTTTCCCACACCCTCATCAGCAACTTCACATTTCAAATCATTGTTGGAAAGACCACACTTGCCTGGTAGAGCACGTCTTTGCCAAACTAAAAATTAGATTGGAGAAGGTGACACTCTTCTCTTGAACAAGGAATGCCTACTTGCCTCATCTAAAGGGGGTCACTCAAATGTTTGTTTCCAGAACATCAACAAGAAAATAGCAGTGGATAGCCACTAACACAGTTCTTTCTCTCCCTTAACAAAAACTAAGCTGAGCTTCACTAGAAACTAAAGAAACCAGAATTTAAACCAAGGTCTTCCGGTGCCAACCCTTTTGCTCTTCTAGCCATGCAGCAAGGGTTTCCCAGTTGTAAAATGATGGTGACAGGGGTAGGTGGGAGTATATAACAGATGAACAGTTCTCAAAATTGTAGAACATAGACCCCAGGCCCATAAGAATGGACTTGTGCAGACAAACACTTTATTAAGCAACCTAGGGTAGGGACATATGAAGCAGGAGGAAGAACCCACCGACCAAAATGGTGGAACCCACCAGCTGTCCAAGGCCACCCAGTGCCAGCCACCACCACCACACAGGCAGCCTCCAGGCAGTACTACTACCTTCTTCCCCCGTTTGTCATTTGCATCCTTCTTTCCAACCCACAGGACTTCGTGGATGGAATGCAGTTCTGCAGCAGTGGCTTTCAAGGACTTGACATCCACCCTCCAGCTGGGCCCCTCTGGATCCTGGGGGATGTCTTCATTCGACAGTTTTACTCAGTCTTTGACCGTGGGAATAACCGTGTGGGACTGGCCCCAGCAGTCCCCTAAGGAGGGGCCTTGTGTCTGTGCCTGCCTGTCTGACAGACCTTGAATATGTTAGGCTGGGGCATTCTTTACACCTACAAAAAGTTATTTTCCAGAGAATGTAGCTGTTTCCAGGGTTGCAACTTGAATTAAGACCAAACAGAACATGAGAATACACACACACACACACATATACACACACACACACTTCACACATACACACCACTCCCACCACCGTCATGATGGAGGAATTACGTTATACATTCATATTTTGTATTGATTTTTGATTATGAAAATCAAAAATTTTCACATTTGATTATGAAAATCTCCAAACATATGCACAAGCAGAGATCATGGTATAATAAATCCCTTTGCAACTCCACTCAGCCCTGACAACCCATCCACACACGGCCAGGCCTGTTTATCTACACTGCTGCCCACTCCTCTCTCCAGCTCCACATGCTGTACCTGGATCATTCTGAAGCAAATTCCGAGCATTACATCATTTTGTCCATAAATATTTCTAACATCCTTAAATATACAATCGGAATTCAAGCATCTCCCATTGTCCCACAAATGTTTGGCTGTTTTTGTAGTTGGATTGTTTGTATTAGGATTCAAGCAAGGCCCATATATTGCATTTATTTGAAATGTCTGTAAGTCTCTTTCCATCTACAGAGTTTAGCACATTTGAACGTTGCTGGTTGAAATCCCGAGGTGTCATTTGACATGGTTCTCTGAACTTATCTTTCCTATAAAATGGTAGTTAGATCTGGAGGTCTGATTTTGTGGCAAAAATACTTCCTAGGTGGTGCTGGGTACTTCTTGTTGCATCCTGTCAGGAGGCAGATAATGCTGGTGCCTCTCTATTGGTAATGTTAAGACTGCTGGGTGGGTTTGGAGTTCTTGGCTTTAATCATTCATTACAAAGTTCAGCATTTTACCTGATCGTTTCAGTGGTCATTGATGATCATTGCTGAGATCCACACTATAATTAGGGGCGGCAGAACAGGTGTTTTTCTAATTCTGCTATCCCTTTGGCATTTGTTAGTTGGAATTCTTCTATAAAAAACATAGGCTGGGTACAGTGGCTCACGCCTGTAATCCTAGCACTTTCGGAGGCCAAGGCAGGCAGATCACGAGGTCAAGAGATGGAGACTATCCTGGCCAACATGGTTAAACCCCTTCTCTACTAAAAGTACAAAAATTAGCCAGGCATGGTGGCACACGCCTGTAGTCCCAGCTACCCAGGAAGCTGAGGCAGGAGAATCGCTTGAACCCAGGAGACAGAGGCTGCAGTGAGCCAAGATCACGCCACTGCACTCCAGCCTGGCAACAGAGCGAGACTCCTTCTCAAAATAAAAAAAATAATAATAATCTTTGGCTGGGCACGATGGCTCACGTCTGTCCCAGCACTCTGGGAAGCCAAGGAAGGAGGATTGCTTGAGCCCAGGGTGTCAAAGTTGCAGTGATCTATGACCTTGCCACTGTACTCCAATCTGGGTGATAGAGCAAGACCTTGTCTTGAAAACAAGATAAAACAAGATAAAACCTTTCCCTCATCAACCATTTGCCCAGGAAAGAAGACAATTACTTGGGGTTTTGTTTCCTTTGTTTACCAGTTTTCAGAATGAGTTGGTACTATATTAAACACCAAAGAATTTTAAACATATTTGATGTGTTTCAACTCACCAATTTTTTCTTTAATGCCAAATCACCCTATCTTTAGCCAGTGGGTGACCTTCAAATTAGTTCCTGTGAACTTTTCCAGCCCATCTTGCACACTTCCAGTCCCATATGTGGCATCAGCCATTGTTCCACAGAGTCCTGGTTCCTCAGTGGCCTCGGGTAATGATGTCATGTCCCTAAGACACTCACCTCTCAGAGCTGTTGGGAAGAATCAATGATCTTACCTGGGTGGAAGCACCTGGCTAAGAGTGGTAACTTCCCTTCTGATTTGGGTGTCATGCTCAGAGTAGATCACAACTACACATCTGCACACATACATTTTTTGTTTGGTTTTTACTTTTATTTTTCCTTTTTGAGGAAATTATTGCTTTTAAAGTCAATTTAGAACAGCCTGATACAAACGAGCTATGAAAGCAGTGTAGTAGAACAGTTAACAACACTGGCTCCGGAGTCAGGCAGGCTTGGATTTCATTCCTAGCATCAGTTGTGGGACTTCTGCACCTCAGTTTGTTCATCTGTCAAATGGACATCATAATAGGAACTACAGTTGACCCCTGAACAACACAGGTTTGGACTTGCATGATTTCACTTATTCACAGATTTTATTTTTTCAACCAAAGGCAGATCAAAAATATAGCATTCAGCCAGTGCTGTGGCTCACACCTGTAATCCCAGCACTTTGGGAGGCTGAGGTGGGTGGATCACTTGAGGTCAGGAGTTCGAGACCAGCCCGGTCAACATGGTGAAACCCCATCTCTACTAAAAATACAAAAATTACCCGGGCATAGTGGCAGGCGCCTGTAATCCCAGCTATTCGGGAGGATGAGGCAGGAGAATTGCTTGAACCCAGGGGGTGGAGGTTGCAGTGAGCCAAGATCGTGCCACTGCACTCCAGCCTCAGCGACAGAGACTCCATCTCAAAAAAAAAAAAAAAATACAGTATTCTCGGGATGCAAAACCCATGTATGTGGAGGATGGACTTATCCTATATGTGGGTTCTTCGGGGCCAACCGCAGGACTTGGGTGTGCTCAAATTTTAATATACTTGGGGGTCCTGAAAGCAGTTCCCCACATACACCAAGGGACGACTGTGCTGCATGGGGTTATTGTGAGGATGCAATGACATTGCACATACGTAAACATTTACCTAGCTTACATGCCTGTGCTCATCAGGCCACAGACCTTCACTCTGCATAGGCGAGTCTCATAAAAGGCAGAAAGCCCTACAGTAAATGGCTTTATGATTTTTCATCTAAGACAAAGCACCCCAAGAGCCATGTGGGAGCCCATTGTCAGACAGCACCCCTGAGGGTTTTCGGAAGGGCCGTTTCTGTGCAAGGGCTGCCCTGGCTGTTGAATGTGCTGGTCTGGTGCTGGCCAGGAGTCTGAGTAGTGGAGGCTGCAGTGTGAAAGTGATGCCTAAGCCACACAACATCATTCAGTCTTCACAACGACCCTGCTGGTTCTGCCACAGAAATCCTTCTGTGATCTGTTTCCTTGTCCCCACCCTCCAGTCATTACCTTTCACCAGAAATATTCCAGGAACATCCTGACAGTGATTCTGTCTCTTGCCCTCCGACAAACCAGTGCCTGATCGGTAAATATTTCTGAAGCCCAGCTCTAATCACACCCTTCCCCTGATGTACACTTCGCAATGGTGCCCCGCTGCACGCCAGATGCAATCCAAGCTGATGCAACTTCCAGGGTTCCCAGGGCTTTGCCTCAGTTTGACCACTTGTTCTCCCTGGACATCTAGTCTACCCTGCACCAAACGGAATCATCCCGATTTTCTTACTTGTACACTTAGTCCTAGGATTCCATCTCCTCTGTTCATCAGAGGAACATGCCGTTTCCCCAAAATGACTCCCTTTCAATGAGTGTTAAGATGACAGTGAAAAGCTGTCAGACACAGTGCTGTGAGACACTAGACTGAAATCTCAGCCCATGGGATGCACTGTGAAGGTGCTCAGCTATGACTTGGAGCCCTTCCCGTACACTCTGTCTTCTGCCAGCCAGAGGTTCAGCATCTCCTCTCCCTGGCCCCACATCGTTTCTCTGCATATTGAGCCTGACTTCCTGCTCCATTCACCACACATCTGCACAATCCTATCCTCAGCATCCTTCAAGCTCCAATTCAAGTGCCTCCTTTCCATAAAGCCCTCTTCGACTTCTCCTAACTAGAACTAATCTCTCCTTCCTCTAAATCCCCACAACCCTTAAGCTGTGTTTCTTATGCCATTATTTGCTCCATGTTTTATTTCCACTGAAAAAATGCAATTCTCCATTTCTGCACCCTTGAAAGGGTCTGAAAGGCTCAGATCATTGAATGAACACCTACAGGAGGAAAGGAAGGAAGCAGTGAGGATGAATACAGCGTCAGGGCCTCCTCTGCAGGGTCGAAGCTGGCGTCATTCTCCTCTGGAGCATGTGTCACAGGAACAGAAGGGAAATTGCTGACTTTTCATCCACGTGGCTGGAGGAAGTGGGGACTAGAGTCTGAGGGTGGCTGACGACTTGGCTTCCAAAGGTGTTGGGATAGTTCTGCAAATAGACCCTGAAAGTACCAGTTTCAGTCCCATGTGCAAAGGCTGTAAGGACCAGCATGGACAGTTCACTTCCCATTCCCAAAGCACCCTCGGCAGCAGTGGGCCCCACAAGAACGCTCACATCTTCTCTAAAAGAGGATCAAATGTGCCTCTACGCCCCTGTGGGGGCTTGCTGTCTAATCCCTTCTCTCTCTCTCTCTCTCGCACGTGCACACACACACACACACACAAGTGTTCACTTAAAACTTGGCCTCAGAAAAAAGTAGAAGACTATGGGAGGAAATTCTAAAGGGCAACAATTTAAGAACAAGTCAGTCATCAAAAATTAGTGGTTGGCCTGAGGGTGGCCTGATGCCCGCTTTCCCAAGTCACCCAGGTGGAATATTTGGGGTGAATGTGCTCTAGGGTGGAGGTTTTCCAGCTTCAGTGTGTGCCACCCAGTGCTGCTCTCCATGGAAACCTTTGCCTCCTCCCTCCAGGAATGTTTGCTAATTGAAACAAGGAAATCAGCTTCACCTTTTTTTCCACTGAAGAAACCACACACAACATACCCAGGCCAGGCCTGTACCTGGCACCGTGAGCAGCCCAGTGTGGGATTCAAGGATACTCGCTCTGCACCCCCCCGAGAAATGTGTAGTCTAATCGGCCAGATGAGACGTAGACAGCAGCCACAGAGCAGAGTCAGAGACTTCTGTTGGATACGAGGAAGAACTCCCTGACCCAGAGGATTATTAGATGAAGAATGGGCCCAAGGAGGCACAATCTGCCCCCAGAGATGTGGGGGCAGAAGGGGACATCCAATGCATTACACGACTTGAGGGGGCTCTGGTGAGGCCTTGTATCCCCTGAGCAAGGCCTGTCTAAACTCATTTCATTCTGCTTTCATCCGCCAGTCATAGCGATTCCAGGCATGGTTCCAGGCAGCTCAAAGAGATACCAAATTAGCCGCATGCTAGCGGCGTTTTAAATTGCTGTAGTCTCCTAGGTACTTCAGGTTGGGTCACAATCCTCACTTGAGAGGAGACGTCAGGACTTGCCTCATATCTCACAAGCCTGGTGTGGAGTTTAATGTATGTATTTGTTGTGTGTGTGTGTGTGTGTGCGCGCGCGCATGTGTGCGTGGCATGGGTGTGTGTGATGTGTTTGTGTGATGTGTGTTGTCTGTGGTATGTATATATGTTGTTTGTGTGTGTGGTGTGTGTGTGTGCGATGTGTGTGTGGTGTGTGTGGTGTGTATGTAATTTGTGTGCGTGATGTGCATGTGTGTGGTATGCATATGTGTTGCTTCTGTGTGTAAGTGTATGTATGTTGTTTGTGTGTGTGGTGTGTATGTATGTGTGTGTATGTGTGTGTATGTGGTGTGTATGTGGTGTGTATGTGTGTGTGTGGTGGTGTGTCTGTGGTATATATGGTGTGTATGTGGTGTGTTTGTGTAGTACGTGTGTATTGTGTGTGCTATGTATGTGTGGTGTGTATGTGTGGAGTGTGTGTTGTGTGTGGTATATATGTATGGTGTTTGTGTGTGGAGTGTACGTGTGGTGTGTATCTTGTATGTGGCATGTATGTGTGCTGTGTGTGGTGTGTTTGTGTTTTGTGTGTGTTGTGGTATGTATGCATGGCATTTGTGTGTGGTGTGTATGTGTGGTGTGTTTGTGTAGTGTGTGTTGTGTGTGGTATGTATGTGTGGTGTTTGTGTGGTGTGTTTGCTGTGTGTGTTGTGTGTGATATGGATCTGTGATGTTTGTGTGTGGTGTGTATGTGTGGGGTGTGTGTGTGATGTGTGTGTGGTGTGTGGTATGTATGTGTGGTGTTTGTGTGTGGTGTGTATGTGCGGGGGTGTGTGCGGTGTGTGTGTATGGTGTGTTTGTGTGATGTGTGTGATGTGTGGTGCGTGTGTTATTTGTGTGTGTTGTGTGTGGTATGTATGTGTGGAGTTTGTGTATGTGGTGTGTGTGTGTGGTGTGTATATTGTGTGTATGTTTGGGTGTTGCTTGCATGTGTGGTGTGCATGTGTGGGGTGTGTGTGGGCAGTGTGTGTGGTGTGTGGCATGTATGTATGTTTTCTGTGTGTGTGCTGTGTGTATTGGAGTAGGGGAGGAGTGTGTGTGTGTGTGTGTGTGTGTGTGTGTGTGTGTATACAGGTACTGGGATAAGGGCAAAGCATAAGGACCAGAACCTCTTCCTACCAGGCTGGTGGTAGGACTGAATCTTCTACCCATGTGTATCTAAAACCTCAACGAAAACAAAAGGGCCCCTTTACTGGGTGGCTTCCAGCAGCAGAAGCAGAAGTTTCTAAAGCCAACCAGAGGCTCTTTATGGGGCCCACAAATGGGACATGTTACCCTGCAGGCCCCCTGACCCATAGCTCCCATCCTCATCACCATGGGCCACGGTTCCTATAAATGAAATTCTTGAAGGGCCCAAATCCAGTCAGCTCTGGAGCCTAGCTTTTCCATTCCACTCCACCCCCTCCACCCACACAGCTGAGGTCACCCGGCCCAGCCTCTTTTGCAACTTTCCCAAGTCTGTGCACGAGAGGGAGAGGAGGAAAACTCAGAGGGAAGTGGCGTGGCTTCAACAGACTTTCTTTTGCCTGTCTTTGTCCCAGAGCCTCTTCCCTGGCCCTGCTGAGACCACTGCTCTAAGAAGAGACCACCAGACTGAGAGAGGACTCCCAGCTGCCCTCAGAGCGGAGGCCGAGTGCTGCACAGCCACAGCTGTAAGTGCCCCGGGAGCTTGTCTCAGTGCTTCTGTCTGCCCCTGCAGCCCTGGGAGTTATTTGGGTATTTGGGTGGAGGAGTGGAGGCAGGGAATGCAAGGATGAGATTTCCAATCTGGCAGCTGCAGAGTTTAAATCCAGCCCTAAGACCCCACCCTGGAGAAGCTCCCAGGGTGTGGCAGCAAGAAAAGACTTCCCTGCCTGTGCGAAGAGCTGAGGCCCAGCTCGGAGACCCACAAAGGCCATCAGTCCCAGGACGCAGCTGCTGGCCCAGTCAGGAGAGGATGGCGCTGCTGCCTCAAACCTGCAGGACCTGCCAGAAACTAGAGCCCTGCATGAGGGCAAAACCCTGCTGGCACCCAGAGTCCCCTTGTGACATTGACAGAGTGCCTTCTGGGATGGAATTGTGTTGGCCTAAGGGTCTCATCAGGGGAAGCTTGGCCCCTGGAGTAGGAAATTATCACTCCTGTTCTAAATCATAAATATTTCTCCTTGCCCAGTGCTGCAATGCCAGGGGAGCCAATGAATAGAGTCGGACGGATCTGGGTTCTATACCCAGTTCTTGACCCAGGTATCCATTGGGCTTCAGTGGCATTTTGTAAACTGCAAGTGCTCTATAATTGCTAGGTATTATGTATTAATACAAATAATTTCTTTGGGCTTACAGATCAATCTCCCACCACAAAGGTCCCACGGAGATAGTAACTTGTCTGTATCTTTAGACCTACACAGTGCTGGGGCTTAGTAAGCATGCACTGCCTGTGCCAGACAGATGAACAGATGGATGGATGAGTGGATGGATGGCTGTTCATGGAAACCTCTAGAATCCCAGCATTGGTCAGGCTCTTTAGTGGGATACAGAGAGGTGTGAGGCACAGCCCTGCCCTTCAGGCATGGACAGTCTACTCAAGGAGACAAGATCCTCAAATAACCTAAAGAACAAGAGCGCCAAGCCTCCTGAAACCAGGGCTGTAGGTACACTTCCCAGAGGGAGCAGGTCTAGACCTGCTAGGGTTGAGGTGGGTAAGGCGGAATTGTGAACATTACTGGGAGGCAACAAAGCCTTGTGCTCTCTACATAGCCTCTTTTCACAGACAAATTTTGCTTCCAAGATTGTAGGTCCCATTATTTTTTAGGGTGGATATATTTGTCCTTTTCCAAGGTATGGGATCAGGAGGGGAGGTGCTGAAAGTGGACAAGAGCCTGGAAAGATAGTATGATGGGGGCGGGAGACTCTGTCTGCTTCAGAATCCTTACCTGCCCCTGCTCACTCGTCTCCTGTCAGCAGAAGTGATACCCCACCCAATGCAGATGCGACAGAAGATTGTACCTGGTTTCAGGTTGGAGCCAGCGGGGTAAGGAGAGAAAGGAAGTGAGAAATGAGAGGGAAGGGGGTTCCAGCGTTCTTGGAGGGCTGGTGCCAGGCACTGGGGCTTGGCAACAGCTCAGTCCTTCTTACTCCACAGGGGCTGAGCTACACTGTAGCTTTGGCAAATGGGCAGGACCAGGACTCCAGGCTTAGAAGTGCTGCCAGACAAGAAGGGGAAAGAGCTGGGGACCTCCAGTGGGGAGTCAGTCACCGCAAGTTCTGCTCTGTGTGGACCGGGGCTGGCTGAAGGCAGAGTCCTGCATTTCAATCCTGCTTTTCACTGTTACTTAACAGTAGAGGATGACTCAGCCTAGCCTCTAGGAGGATTCCTTGGTTTGAAGCATCTGAGTCAGCTGAGTGGGTGGAATGAGGCTTAGTGACAACACTACACTTTTTACAGATAAAGGATAAAATGGAAATATTATGAACAACTTATTCCTATACATTTCACAGCTGAGATGAAATAGAAAAATTCCTTAATGATACACATTACCAAAGTTATCTCAAAAAGAAATAGATAAGCTGTATAGTCCTACGCTTCTTTAAAAATTGAATTCATAGTTAAAAAGTTTCTAATAAAAAACTTCAATTCTAAAAAAAAAAAAAGACGGCTACTGCCAAAGCCCAGCAGAGATGACATGGAAAGGGACTCCAACCACTGTATGAGATCTGCGTGTGCCTCCTAGGTGAGCCAGGCTGCGTCACCCCACAAACCGCCCCCACTTCCCACGGACCTGGTCCCAGTCACTCTTTGTTGCTCCTAGTGAGGCTGGGCCCAAGGACTGGGCTCTTATAAAATAGCAGCCTCAGCAAACTCCTGCCCTTCTAGGATAGGGTAGGGGAACCTGCAGTAGCAGCACACCCTGAGTGAGCATCTAGGGGAAAGGAACCAGGGAGGGGGTGGAATGTGGGAGCCCAAAGTTAAGGCCGAGGTAACTTACCAGGATCTTGAGCACTTTTTGTGTGGCCCTCAGGAGAAATACTCCTAGGAGCGGGAGGCAGCTCCATGGGGCAGGTCTGGCTCTACCTTTCATGGATGTGGAAGAGATGACTCAAGCACAGGGTGGTGCTTGGCATAAATGACCTTTGAAGTCCTTGCAGGAGTGTGCTGGAGCAGGCTCCACGCTGGTAGCTTGAAGTCAGCCATGGTGGAAGTGTTTACACCATAGGAAGTGGCAAGCATGACCAACCAGGGCCCTGGCCTCTAGACTCACCCCCTCTCCCAGCTGGTAAACAATTATCTGGATCCTTCCCAACTTGGGGACCAGTGCTGTGTTATAAGATCATGACACATGTCACCTGCAGAGGAAGCCACAGCCACGAGTGATGTCCATTTTACCCATGAGGGAACAGACGCCCCAAGGTTCAGTAACCCATCCAAGGCCACAAATGTGTGGAGCCAGGATGAGAATTCTGAGTCCCAAACTCATGATCACTCCATGGCACCAGACATCCTCACTCTCTTGCTCACAGAAGTAATTTGTCCTATCTGAAAATCACGCTCAAATTGCTTTGGGCTGCCATCCACACATCTTTTTAAAGAAATGTTAAGTGATTATTTGATATTCTTAAATTACAAAACAACTTAGGCTTGTGTAACAAATTTTAAAACAAAACATATATAACATAAAATGATAGCTCTTAGCCTCTAATCTACCTTTCCCATCCCTCTTATGAATCATTTAGTGTATATCTCCCCTTAGCTTTCTTATCACACTATATAAAACGTTCAGTGATTTTCTTTTTTCTTACTTAAAGCCATCACGTGTAGCTTCCCACTTCATTATTTCATCTTTTTAAAACTGCCCTTGGCCAGGCGTGGTGGCTCACACCTGTAATGCCAACATTTTGAGAGGCCTAGGTGGGAGGATCACTTGAAGCCAGGAGTTTGATACCAACTGGGGCTACAAAGCATGATCCTGTCTCTACAAAAAATGAAAAATAAAAAATCTGCCTGGCATGGTGGCATACACCTGTAGTCCCAGCTACCTGGGAGGTTGAGGGGGGAGGATCACTTCAGCCCAGGAATTTGAGGTGGCAGGGAGCTATGATCATGCCACTGCACTCCAGCCTGGGCAAAAGAATGAGGCCCTGTCTCTAAATAGACAGATAAATAAATAAATAATAAAACAGCTAATTGTTCCAGAGTATTAATGGATCAGAATTGATGTAGAGAGTGTCATATTGATGGACAGTTAGATTACCCCAATGCTTTAGTAATCATCTGTACAAATATGTGTTTGAGCATATGCATGAGTATTTCTGTAGGACAGATTCCTAGAATGAGAACCTAGGCTGTGTGCATATTACGTTTTGATATTGTCCAATTACCTTCCAAAAAGACTGTGCTAATTCATACTCTATCAACAATATATAAGAGTGTTTCCCTAACACACTTGCCAACCCTAAATATTGTTGTCAATCTTTTTAAAATTTTGCCACTCTACTGGGTGAAAATAAATGGTATTTTGAAATGTTAATTTCCTTGATAGTTAGTAAGGTTGAGTATCTTTTCAAAGCTTACTAATTCTTTATAAGATTTCAATTGGTAACTTGTTCACGTTCTTTGCCCATTTTTGATAGGTGTGTTGCCTTTTATTATCTGTATGAGTGCCTTACACATTGTGCATAGCGACCTGTTATATGTCTCACACACACCTTCTACCTTCCTCGTCCTGCCCCAGCTTTCCCTTCCTAAGCACGCCGCTGGCCTCCCTGCATCAAACCCTCACCCATCCAGCCCCTGAGCTCTCTAACAGGGGCACTATGGAGCAAGGCGTGTGAGTCTCATTCTAGTTTTACAGACAGTAGAACCCAGTAGTTAAGAGAGCTGGCTCTGGGGTTAGGCCTGGACTCCAATCCCAGCTTCAAACCCTGCTCTAACACGTGCGGGCTTTCTGTCTTTAAGGCTGAACTGCTTAACTGCTCTAAACATCTGTTTCTTCAATGGTAAAACAGATAATAATAGTATCAATCTCACAGGCTATCTTTGTGTGCAATAAAATAGCTAGCATTTCTTGAGTCCTTAATTTGTGCCAGTAAATGTATCACAATATGCTATGAATATTGTATTCTATGTGTTCAATGTATTATAATAACGTATTGTTTACCCCTGACAATGCTATTGTGTATTTGTGTATTCACAAAGCCCTCAGCACAGTGCCCACCAAACAAATGTTAGCTTGTAACGTGAGACGTACTCCAGCCCTGCTGCATGGTCGTGTGACAGCGTGTGAAAGCATTGCCCTCTGCCTAGCATGCCGCGTCTCTGACCCTGTGGCCAGTCCTCACACATAGCTCCTGTTGGGCAGCTCCAGTTCTCTCCACCCCCACTGTATCTCTCTGCCACTTTGGCAGCCTTTCTCTGCCTCCTCCAACTCTCCTAGGGTTTTGTTGAAATTCACCAAATCTGAGCCCAGTGCCCTAGATTCCTGTGCACACAGATTCCATGGGTTCAAACTCTGGTGATTAGGAGGCATGACACAGGAAAGCCTTCTCAGCATTTTTTGTTTGTTTATTTGTTTGTTTGAGACCGAGTCTTGCTCTGTCACCCAAGCTGGAGGGCAGTGGCATGATCTCGGCTCACTGCAACCTCTGCCTCCCGGGTTCAAGTGATTCTCCTGCCTCAGCCTCCTAAGTAGCTGGGATTACAGGTGTGAGCCAACAAGCCTGGCTCATTTTTTTGTATTTTTAATAGAGATGGGGTTTCACCATGTTGACCAGGCTGGTCTCGAACTCCTGACCTCATGATCCGCCCACCTTGGCCTCCCAAAGTGCTGGGATTACAGGCTTGAGACACGGCACCCAGCCTGCCTTCTCAGCCTTTGATTCAAACACTAGCTCTTCCATTTACTCCCTGTGCAGGCTTGGGTGAGTTGTGATTACTCAGCTTCTTGGAGCTTGGTTGTACTTGTCTCAGAGGGTAATAGTGAAGATGGCCTGCCCTCGGTAGAATACTTAGCACAGCCCACTGCAGGGGCTCAGCCAGTGCTGCCTCTTCTCCCGCTTCTTCCTGCCTGCCTTTGGTTCTGACTCTCTTTCTAAGGCATTGTGTTGCTTTTTAAAGCTAAGTTAGCACGTTGTATCAATGCCTTTAGGAAACAGCTTCCCTTTGCTCCTAGGACCCTTCCAAAGTGATAACAAATACTTCGAGAGCCATGCTTTTTCAGGGGTTTCTGAACCATTTCTCTCTTGGCTGATTTCCCTCGTGGACAGCAGCATCCATTACAAAATGCCAGCCCAGGTTCAAGCCTTGAATTGCCTTCTTTGTTGGAATATAGGAAATGTTTGCTGAGTGAATGAATGAATGAATGAATGAGTCAGTGCCAGGATCTTTGGTCAGATATTTACAGCCCGTCTTAATCTTGCTTCCTTTCCAGCCTTTCCTCCCTTTACACCTTTCACCTCACCCTTCCCTGAAGCAAATCGCCCACTTTCCCCATTCATCTCTTCCCAAGGCTTTGGTTATTTCATTCCCTCCCCAACCACATGCTTCATTTCTTCAGGACCTAGTTCTGCTGAATTCTCAAGCACTTTCCCTGTGCCTCTCCTGCGGTGCTGTGTACTTTCTCTCTGGTGTCATCACTCAGCCACTGTCCTTTCTTCCTTGGTGACTCCGTGTGGTGGGTTCCTATTTGCTCCATCTCTGTGCTGTTCCCAGTGTCTAGTGCAAGGCTTTGCATGTGGTAGGCATGTAGGCATTTGCTGCATGAACGTGTGAACCATCAAGAAGACCCATTTCTCACCATGCCAACCCAGCATTCCTGGGTTAGAGCAGAAGTTCCAGTGCCACCAACTCCAGGTCCTAGGACAAACAGCTCTGAGTAGAGCTTCAAATCGCCTTTGGTCTATGATATGGTTTGGCTGTGTCCCCACCCAAAATCTCATCTTGAATTGTAATCTGAATTGTAATTCCCATGTGTTGGGGAAGAGACCTTGTGGGAGGTGATTAGATCATGGGAGTGGTTTCCCCATGCTGTTCTTATAATAGTGAGTGAGTTCTCAGAAGATCTGATGGTTTTATAAGGGGCTTTTCCTCACTTTGCTCTACACTTCTCTCCCCTGCTGCCATGTAAAGAAGGATGTGTTTACTTCCCCATCCACCCATGACTGTAAGTTTCCTGAGGCCTCCCCAGCCATGCGGAACCAATTAAACCTCTTTCCTTCATAAATTACCCAGTCTCAGGCAGTTCTTTATAGCATGAGAACAGATGAATACAGTCCATGACATGGTTCATGAAGGGGACACTAACAATCCTAAATCTCTGGGGGCTTCCCATTTTAACTTTGTGTCCCAAGCACAGCTCTCATGGCCAATGAGGTCCAGCTCCAGCAGATAAAGCATTTTTCACCAAGAAGGCATCTTGAGTCTTTGGGGCTCAGCTGGCTCATTCTCCAGTTGGAAAGCCAAGACTCAGAGAGGGGAAGTAACTGGCCCAAGGTCACAAAGTGAGAACCAGAACCAAGGCCTCAGGATGTCCTATTTACAGCTTTTTCCAAGTAGCAGGGGAAACACAAGCTGACCAACTTTTGACACCTCATCTGAGCAGAGTCAAGTCAAGGTTTACTCAGCATGCTTAGTGCATCCAAAGACAAAAGAACCAGGAATTGGGGATAGTGCATATGCATATGTGCATATATGGGTGAAACAAAGGGCCAGTTAAGCATGTATCCTACAACAGTTTTGCTTTACCTTGTTAAACACACACACACACACACACACACACACACACACACACACTATACATTTACATTTCTCTTATAGGAACAAGACATATTTATTGTAAAAAAAAAAAAGAATGTATTAAAAAGCATAGAGAAAAAAATTAAAATAATGTAATTTCCTACCAACCAGAATAACTTACATTTTTTAATTGACAGATAAAAATTGTACACACTTACCATGTACAACCTGTTGTTTTGAAATATGCACACATTGTGGAATGGCTAAATTGAGGTAATTAACATCTGCATTACCTCACATGCTTATTTTTTAGTAGTGAGAACACTTAATATAAACTCTATTAGGAATTTTCAAGAATACAATACATTGTTGTTAACTATAGTCACCATGCTGTATAATATATCTCTTGAATTTACTCCTAGCTAACTGAAATTTTTTATCCTCTAACATCTCCCCAACTGCCCACCCAGCCCAGCTCCTGGTAACCACCATTCTATTCTCTACTTCTACGAGTTCAATTTTTTTAGATTCCACATATAAGTGAGATCATATGGTATTTGTCTCTTTGCCTGGGTTATTTCACTTAACATAAGGTCCTCCAGGTTTACCCATGTTGTCATAAATTGTAAGTTTTTTTTTAAAGCTGAACAGTATCCGTTGTGTACATGTACCGATTTTCTTTACCCATTCATCCATTGATGGACACTTAGGTTGATTCCATATCTTGGCTACTGTGAACAAAGCTGCAGTGAACCTGGGAGTGTAGACATCTCTTCAACATACTGATTTCATTTCCTTTGTCTATATATCCTGTAGTGGAATTGCTGGAATTTTTAATATATTTCCTTCCAGGCGTTTTTCTATACAAGTGGGAACTCATTTAAGTGTTGGGTGGTATTGTGTGTACAGTTTACCATCTTCTGTTGTTTTTTTTTAAGTTATTATTATACTTTAAGTTCTAGGGTACATGTGCACAACATGCAGGTTTATTACATATGTACACATGCACCATGTTGTTGTGCTGCACCCATTAACTCATCATTTACATTAGGTATATCTCCTAATGCTATCCCACCCCCTGCCCCCACCCCGTGACAGGCCCCGGTGTGTGATGTTCCCCTTCCTGTGTCCAAGTGTTCTCACTGTTCAATTACGATCTATGAGTGAGAACATGCAGTGTTTGGTTTTTGTTCCTTGCAATAGTTTGCTGAGAATGTACCATCTTCTGTTTTCTATTTAGATCTTAAGGGATCCTAGGATCCTATTTAGATCCTAGGGCATGAGCATTTTCCCATATTATTGTAATATTCTCAAAAACTCCATTTAATGACTGCTTAATAATTCATTGTGTGCTATGATTTAACCACTGCTTTAGTGTTGGATGTTTATAAACAGTACAGTGAAGAACATTCTTGGACAAGAGTCTTTACCCACATTTCGGATAATTTCTTTAGGACAAATTCCTAGAAGTGGAGGGCAGGAACATTTTTAAGGCTCTCAACACTTGCTGCCAATAGCTTTCCAGAAACATGTATGAATTACACCCCCGCCAGCTGCATTAGAGAGGAGCCTTTTGATTCTGCAGTTGCAGCTAGACCTCGGGCTGGGGGAGGGGCACTCTTCCATCCAAAGCCTCTGGGCAGTCGTGACAATGGAACCCTTGTCCTGCCCACCCCCATCTCTTCTTCCTGCATGCCCCTCCATCCCTGGCTCCAGGCTGGGCTGTCTGCGAGGCCTCTGTTTAATCCTGTCCTGCCTTCTTGGCACTCCAGGCTGCCTCCAAGAGCAGGGTTGGTAGAGCTGAGGGATGAGAGATTTGCCTGTCCTGGAGAGTCACCACCCTTCCAGCTTTGGGGAGGCCCCCAGGGAAAGTGAGGGAGAAGATATATGAAGATTGCTGAATTACGTGCCTCCTTCGGAGAACCCCACCCAGTCCCGGGCCCAGGGCAGTAACTTGCCCATTGGAAAGGGGAAAGCAGAGGCCACACTCAGTGACAATGGCCACAAGGAACATTGGCTAGCATGTGGATGACCTCTGTTTCCTTACAGGCTCTGAAGCCCTTCCATGAATCCCCGGAAGAAGGTGGACCTGAAACTCATTATCGTCGGAGCCATTGGGTAAGCCAAGCTCAGCTCTGGGAGTTGGGAAGCAGCCCCTCACCCAAGGACAGTGAGACCTCCTGATGTGTTCCCATCTCCCATAGGTCCCTTTCTGATTCAGGGTGACACCAGCAACTGTATCCCATCCCCAGAAAAGAAGCTTAGTTGGGACAAAGAAGCTGCATGTAAACAGATGGTTTCCAGTCCTAGATCTGCAGTGACTCTGCAGTAACCAGCTGTGTGAATTAGGCAAGCCATTTAGCATCTATCTGTCCTCCCATGTCCTACACACACAGAAAAAACCTGACCACCACTGTGAGATATTCCACCGTCTCCAGACTACTCTGCTCACTTTGATTGGCTTCTACTTCTAGAAACCATTTCCTACTCCCTTGCTATTCAAAGTGTGGTCCATGGACCACAGAAATTTGAAATTCAGAATCTCAGGGAGAGACAGTGGCAAGAGGGGCCTGGGAAGATTCTGAGAATGGTAGGGAAGCATGTGCATGTGTGTTTGCATGTGTGTGTTCACATGTGTCTGGAATTTTCCTCAGTGTGGGAAAGACCTCCCTCCTTCACCAATATGTGCACAAGACGTTTTATGAGGAATACCAGACCACACTGGGGGCCAGCATCCTCTCCAAGATTATCATATTGGGTGACACAACTTTGAAGTTACAGGTGAGCAGCCCTCCTTTTCCCTCTTCAACATACATACACTGAAAATCCCCCCCAAGCCCGGACAGCCACTCATGTAGCAATGTGAACCAGAGCTAGAATGGTCTAGAGCAGAGATGAGCAAACTTCAGCTCATGGGCCAAATCTGATCCACCTCCTATTTTTGTAAATAAGACTTCACTGGGGCACAGCCATAACCATTGGTTAGCTTATCAAGTTATGCAGTACAATGGCAGAGTTGAGTAATAATTGGCATATAGAGACAGAATGACCTGCAAAGCCTAAAATATTTACTATCTGTTATTTATAGAAAAAAAAATGCTGATGCCTGATCTAGAAGGAAGGACATTAATCCAGGAGTTGAGAGACCCCACGCCTAGTCTCAGGTTCTCTGGAAAACCTGGCAGGTGATCTTAGGCAAGACATTCCCGAGGTCCAAGTTTCCATATCTGTCAGATGGGAATAACAATTGCCACCTTGATGACCCAGAGGAAAAATGAGAGCTCAGATGTGAAATTACTCTCAGGATGTTAAATGTTACCACAAAGGTGCTGGAGTGTATGTGGGTGGGAGGGTCAACGTGCCACGGTGTGAAAGAACCATATGCACCTGTACCAGGGCCTGCTGCTCCCTACCCAGCAAAAGAAGCCTTGACATGATGTAATCCAGCTGGGCCTCCTTCCAGCCATTCATCACAGCCCCATGGGGCAACTGCTTTCCCCTCCAGATCTGGGACACGGGCGGTCAGGAGCGGTTCCGCTCCATGGTGTCCACGTTCTACAAGGGCTCCGATGGCTGCATCCTAGCTTTTGATGTCACCGACCTGGAGTCTTTTGAAGCCCTGGATATCTGGCGGGGTGATGTCCTGGCCAAGATTGTCCCCATGGAGCAGTCCTACCCCATGGTGTTGTTGGGGAACAAGATCGATCTGGCAGACCGGAAGGTACTGTTCGTTCATTTATTCATTCAACAAACATTATATGAGCACCCACTATGTGCCAGGCACAGTGTTAGGTCCCACACATACAGAGCTGAATCAGGCATAGTCCTTACTTCAGGAATTTCACAGTCTAGTAGTAGATACAGACATTTTAAAAGGTAATTATAAAATAAAATGGTAATTATGGTACAATACGGTAAATGAAATAATAGAGATATACCTTGGGCATTAAGGAACCACAATAGAGAGGCATCTACCCAAGCCTAGAATATAGGACAGGTTTGCTGGAAGAGCTGGGTTCTGGGCTGAATAAACAGCATGATATAAGCTGAGAACTAAAGGTAATTTTGTCCAGAGACAGGGAAAGGAGGAGTTAAGGCATCAGATGTAGGCAGGAGGGAGGTCACAGTGGAATTTGAATTAATCTGTGGCACAGCATTTCTGCCTGGGGTCAAGTTGGAGGTCTGCAGTTATAAATTCTTGGATATACAAGTTTTCTGGGGAAGTAATAATTTTTGTATTAGCTTAAGCATATTCCGGACCATCGGGTTAACCACTTGACAGTTGGTCTGCTCCATGACTACAGTGACCCCACTTGTGTAGGCGTTTACCATTACACGGCATTGAGAAGACAGCACTTCTAATCCTTGCCTACTAATGAGGAAAGAATACGGTAGACTGAATTTGTAAAAGATGCTCTTGGGCCAAAAGTCCAGATGCCACCAAAAAGAGCTGTTTAAACCAAGTTTCTCTTTTTAGTGTGATGGGGAACTGGATCATCATGTCTGAATTGCATTTTCACAATGGTTCAAATAGAGAAAAGCAATGGAAATGAGGCATCATTTGGCATGATAAAGTGTGTTTATGGAAGGAGAAAGGGAGAGAGGGATGGTGCTTCCAACTGAGCTAACATCTACAGAAGAGAGCCTCTGGTTCATAAAGACACATTTTTGGTTTGGACATGGCGAGTTTGAGGAGCTTGTACAGCTAGTTGGAAATGGCCAGCAGGCTTTGGAATGCGTAAGAATGAAATTTCAAAGGAGAAGTCTGTGCTGGAAATAGAGATCTACGAGTCATCGGTTCTGTGGTCACTTCAGGTTGTAAACTCCATGTCAATTCTCTAATTACAAATATCCAGCCTCAGATAATAAGCAAAGTCCTAAGTTCATTCAAAGGCAAGGTGTCTCCATTTTTTCCCCCACTGGGACCAGCTGTGGGTGAGAACCTTGTGGTCTAAGAGAGGGAATAGGTCCTTAGAATCTCACTGCCAACCTTGAGGTCCACACTTCCTCCTCTTATCTGGGATAGTAATTCTGGTTTCAGACCCTGTCAGGAGTGAAGCAGGAAGAGGGAGAAGAGGTCAGGAGAGCAGAGCAATTCTAATTTGGCTTGTACTATCATAAGACAGTCTTGGCCGGGCACAGTGGCTCACGCCTGTAATCCCAGCACTTTGGGAGGCAGAGGCAGGCGAATCATGAGGTCTGGAGTTCGAGACCAGACTGGCCAACATGGTGAAACCCCGCCTCTACTAAAAATACGTGGTGGTGGGCATCTGTAATCCCAGCTACTCAGGAGGATGAGGCAGGAGAATCGCTTGAACCTGGGAGGCGGAAGTTGCAGTGAGCCGCGATCGCACCACTGCACTCCAGCCTGGGCAACAATGCGAGACTTCATCTCAAAAAAAAAAAAAAGAAAGAAAGAAAAAGACAGTCTTGCACTCTCTGGCCTGAGAGGTGTTGCAAGCCCTTTCTTCTGTGGGTCACTCCTGTGGGTCCTTCGGAAGCCTCCACTGGGAACATTTCGCTGTACCTCCCATGACAAGGGTCTTGCATTCTCCTCCTCAACCCCTGGCTTTCAGCATCCCCACCCCATGGGGGTCACCTTTTCCTCCAAGCAGTCTTTAAGTGGGATTTAGCCAGCCCCAGCCTGTTGCTCTCTCTCTCTCTCTCTGTTGAATCCACATGTCCTTCACAAGGCACACTCATGCATTCTGGCTCCACTGGGGGACAAGGGTAGCTGGTGCCCAGTGCAGCCTCTTCTCTCTCTGCCCCGTTGACTGTTGCCTCAGATACCTCAGGTGTGTGTCAGACACCAGTCCACCATGTCCACCAAACTCCAGGGGTTGTACATTAACGACTCTCCTCAATACCATCTTTTAGCTAGAGATGAGTCCTTAACTGTTCCTCCTCTTGGGAGAGGCAAGGGTAGTTGTGCCCACAACACAACTCTCTCCAAGGAAATCCCTCCTAATCCTCATTTTCAAGCGCTTTATATCCACGCTGTGGGATTTAGAGTCATCCAAGAGAGTCTTGATCATGAGCCTTTGGGAATATGTATCCAGGGTAGACTGTCTCCACCTGCTTTATATCTGACATCTGTCCAGTTGTTGCGCCTCTGCCAAAACTTTCATTTTAACTTCCATCTTGTTTCATGTCTGTAGGGTGTGGGGAGGGAAGCTGGGGGAGTTCAAGACCGAGAGTCAGTGAAATAAGTGGTGCCATCTTCTGTTGAGAGGGAGGAAACCAATACGAGGCTTAAGAAACATGAGGAAGCTTTGCCAGTTACTCTTGGGAGAAGTGGGAGGAGGAGCTACTTGGGGACAAGGACAAGTTCTGATGGGTGACACCAAGGACTCCGCTGAAGGAGGAGACTGGGAGTTTGAGGTGGGGTCTCCGTAGGGTACCAGCCAGGAGCAAGGAACTTGGACTAGGGCTTTTCCAACCAAGAGAAGATGAAGGACAGAGCTGCGAGGGCACCAAGAAACCACGAAGGAAAGAAGAGGGACCAGGGGAGGCAGAAGGGCCAGGGCTGGGGTGGCGGAGGCTGGGGAACAGGGCAGCAGGAGGAAGGGCCTGAGGGGGTTGAGGGAAAGGAGATCGGGGCACAGGAGACCAGGTTTCTTATTTTACAGAGGCCCTGAGAGGAAGAGGCTGACATGGAGAGATTGAGGGCAGCAAAGGATTTCTGAGGCTACCATGAGAGGTGGCGGCTGCGTATAGAGGGGTTAGGAGGCCTCACCAGATGGCAAGTGTTTAGTGAATGAGGGGCACCTGGCAAGGTGAGGAGGGCGGGTGGTGACTCGCGGGAGTAGAGGGGGTCCAATCCAAGCCCCAGGGTGGGTGATCTTTGGTGTCCAGAGAGAGGAAGAACAAAGGTTTGAAAGAGGCAATGAGGCACCAGGCAAGCCAGCCCCCTCTCTGGGATCTGTGGTGAGTAAAGTCTGCAAATAGCCCCAGTGGGGAAGGCAAGAGGGGGCGCTGGGGAAGCGTGACTCTAGGAAAAGCCAGGGTTCAGCCAGACAGGGAGGTCCCTGGAGAGGATGGAGGAGGGGTGAGGAGAGGATGGAGGAGAGGATGGAGGAGAGGGGAGCCTGTCTCTCAACAAGGTAGGCCCAGGGAAGGGGTTTGTAGGGAGGTGGAATAGGATAGGGGAGGGGAGGAGGCACTGAGCGACAGTGAAATCAGGACAGGACGTGGAGAGGATGAGGTGTGTGGGAGAGAGCAGAAGGGCTTTAATTCTGAGACCTGGGATTATAAAGCCCCAAGAGGGGAGGCTGGGAAGTGCCGGCCCTCAAATGTCCTTACTCTGCACAGACCTAGCAAGGGCTCTGCCTGCCCCTGGCCGGGTGTGGACATGGAGAAGGGGAGCCAAGAGGTACGTTCTTGTGAGGCGCCTTCTCCTCGGAGCCCGTCCCGCAGATGTGGACTCACAGCCGCCCACCTGGTCCATGTGCCTCCGCAGCCTGGACCGGTTCCCTCCTCTGCGGGGCGGAGACCAGAACACAGACTTCCTGAGACTGAGTAATAATAGGAAGGATGTGATTTCCATAATGGAAATAATGGAACAAGGAAATGATCCTCCTTATTATTATCTCCAAGGGACAGCTGGGAAAATACAGCAGCTTCTCCTACCTAATAAGAAGAAAATGAGTATATAAAAATGTACTGCAGTTTGGCCCAGTGGCTCACGCCTGTAATCCCAACACCTTGGGAGACCAAAGTCGGGGGATAGCTTGAGCCCAGGAGTTCGAGACCATCCTGGGCAACATGTCAAGACCCCATCTCTACAAAAGAAAAAAATTTTTTTTAATTAGCCAGGTGTGGTGGCACACCTGTAGTCTGAACTACTCGGAAGGCTGAGCTGGGAGGATCGCTTGAACACGGGAGGGAGAGGCTGCAGTGAGCCAAGATCACACCACTGTGCTCCAGCCTGGGCGACAGAGCAAGACACTAAAAGAAAAAAAAAAAAAAAACCCACACACACATACATACATCATATATACACACATATACATACATATATATACACACATATTTATAATATATATTGCTAGTTTAGGAAGGTGAGAAAATTCTGAAGATGAATAGCAAGGAATGTACAATGTGAATACAATATGAATGTACCGAATGCCCATGAACTGTATGCTTAAAAATGGTTACAATGAGCCAGGTACATTTTATCTGTAATCCCAGCACTATGGGAGGCTGAGGTGGGAGAATCACTTGAGGTCAGGAGTTCAAGACCAACCTGGGCAGCATAGTGAGACCCCCATCTCTCCAAAAACAAAACAAAACAAAAATTTTTTTAAAAAGTGTTTAATTTAAAAATGGTAAATTTTATTAGGTATATTTACCACAGTAAAAACAGGCATATATAGCCAGAATAATTTTAAAGAAATTACTGATTTAGTTTAAAAAAAAATCCCTGTTCCTTCTACAGAAGGTAATATTGAAAAAAAATAGTTTATTAGAAAGAATAGCTTTGCTGGCATCTATGCTACAAGGAATTTATTCACTGGGGCATGAATTATTTGCTCTGTGCTCAGGTGGGTAATTTCTGATTTGCCAGTGATTCCGTAGACTTAAGATCATGTTTTCTAAAAATATCCTTTGTTATTCTTAGTGATGGTTTAATGGTTTAGTAATTAACGTTAGTAATACTAATTTTAGCACTTGTATAATTGATTATTTTAAAAGCACATGAGATGGAAAAGCATCATAAATAAAATGATGCCAACTGGACTAATTTTGTCAAATGTTTGGCCTCCAATGAACAAGTAAAATTGCAACCAGAAAAGTGAAATGTCAGTAGTATATTGTTGACCAAAAGCAACATTAATGCAAGTAACACTTTCAGAATTATCATACTTCCCATGTCCCCAACTATCACACCCTGAGCTTATTTTCAGAGTCAGAGCCTAAGTTATAAATAATTTTCATTTTATAAACAAAAGATGAGACAATTTTAAAAATCATGAAACTGTCTCTGGGATTGGAAGAGAAAAGTGAAAAATACTGTCTGGGTAGCTTTCTTCCCAGGCCAGCTTTCTGAGGTTGGGGTGGGGAGGAGGGGGAGATATAAAAAGAATGTTAATTTGCAACATAATCACAATGATATTTCAGAGTCTGTATGCAATCATTCCAAACCAAACAGAGAGCAGGGAAAAATGAGATTAAAAAGTCTGTCATAACCGGGCACTTGGGTAGATCTGGTCATGGTAAGTCAGAGGAAAGGGTCTGCTGAGATCAGCTGGGACTTTTTATCCCAGTAAGACAGACATTCCCAGGACCTGCAGGAGCCACAGAGACAATTAAACAGGGGCAGTGTTTGATTTGCCTCGGCCTGCACTGTGTTCTGGGAGAGGGGTGGAATGGTCCTTTCTCCATGAGAAAGACCTTGGCTCCCCTAAATAAACTGAAATAATGATTATAAAGTACCAGGCTCAGCAAATGCTCAGTATGTGGTCATTTCCCCTTCCCCAAATAATTAGACATCAAACTCAGGGGTACCAATTGTCTTTGGAAGTAACCCAGAGGGCTTCCAGAGCATTTCCAAGCCAACATCACAAATTGAACGCCGTTTGCACTTGGGTGGAGATGTAGTCATTCAGCCTGTGCCTGGTGGCTCATGTGTGCCAGACCAGGAGCTGAGCTCCTGACCCTGAGCTCCCGAAGGGAGACAGAAAAGGAGAGGCATGGTTCTTATGCAGTGCCCTGTAGAGGGCAGCTCAGATGCCAGGGGGAGCACTGAGCTGGGGCTACATCCAAGCTCTGCCTTCTCTCAGCTATGTGATCTGGGGCAAGTTGCTGAACCTCTCTGAACCTCAGTGTTTTTGTCTATAAAGTGGAACTGATAATGCCTATCTCACAGGGTCATGGAGAGGATGAGATGAGTTCATATATGATAAAGTGACTAACACAGCAACTGGCCCATAGTAGGAGCTTATTAATTGTTCCTAGGACCCTGCCCTGGGGAAGCAAGGTCAGCTGAGACCCGAGTCTCTGCCCAGCAACAGGCCTCCTGAGTGTGAGCCTGCTTAGCTGGGCTGGGGAAGAAAGTCCTCCCTTCCTGCCATTCCTGGCTGGTGTCTCTCATGTGCAGCTCTCTTTGAAGGGACTGACAAAAGAGGCAATGTTGGCAGAAGCTCTTAGTTTAGGCCTTAGGAAGGCAACAAAGTGCAGTGGGCTGTAATTCCGCCAGGCCTGTGTTCAAATCCTGCTCAGCCTCACATACTCTGGGCAAGTTTTTTTTCTCCAGGCCTCCGTTTTTTCATCTGTGAAATGGAGCTAACAGTTCCCACCTCCTACATTTATATGTAAAGTTAGAGACACTTGGGAGGTTCTCAATAAATGGGAGTGGTGGTGGGCCTGGTGGGGATGGTGGGCCTGGTGGGCCTGGTGGGGATGGTGGGCCTGGTGGGGATGATGGGGATGGTGGGGATGGTGGGCCTGATGGGGATGGTGGGGATGTGATGGTGGCAATGGTGGTGATGGCGATGATAATACAGACACCACGCCTATTTCTTTCCCTCATTCAGGTACCCCAGGAAGTAGCTCAAGGCTGGTGTAGAGAGAAAGATATTCCTTACTTTGAAGTCAGTGCCAAGAATGACATCAATGTGGTGCAAGCGTTTGAGATGCTGGCCAGTAGGGCTCTGTCGAGGGTGAGTGGCTGTGGCGGCAGGACCTGCTGAGACCGCCCCTGGATTGGGGAGGGTCTCGGGAGCTTCCAGAGAAGAACATCTTGGGTGTGGGCAGGGATGTGGGTGGGACAGGATTGCTCATCGTCTCAGTTAATTAGTTATGGAATGGGTTTAACAGCACTCCAGCTCTGGAACCACAGAATGCCAGAGGTAGAAAGCTACCTTAGAGCATGCAGTCAGTGGTCTGTCAATCCAGCTAACTAACCAAATCCCTCGTGGAGTATCTAAAAACTCCAGTCCTGTACCTGAGCCCTGGAGATCCTAACGAGGAAGGGTTTGAGAAGTGATGGTCTAGTCCAATCTTCATTGGTGGGAGGTGCCAGGCATTCACCCAAGTGAAATATCAAACCTGTACGAGTTGCTGACATCTCCCAATCAAAAAGATGAATAGACGTAGACCCCTAGGTACGAAGGTTCGGCAAGAATGTGTTGAGTGTGTGGCAGGCACTGTACAGGCCTCAGGACCCTCTGTCTCAAGAGGCAGGCAGATAGGCCCCTAAGTGATTGCAATACAGTGTGGTCTGGTGGGGCAGGACTTAGGGGTAGGGTCTAGAGGAGGGGCTCACAGACAGCCCATGCTGCAGGGAAGGAGAGGGGGCTGGGAGGAGGCAGGGAGGAGGGAGAGGGAAGAAGGGAGTGGGAGAAGGGAGCAGTTTAGGTTGATGGCCAGGTTTCCAGCTTTGCAAATGAAGGGACAATGGATTAGTGATTCCATGAGCCAAGCAAGACAGGGAAAAAAGGAGAAAGCAGGGGCTTCATGACAGAAAGGGGCAATGACATTCATGTAAGCACATTGCGTTCAAGGTTCCTTGAGACACCAGGTAGAAAAGTCTGAATTCTGCAAGGAGGTGGGGAAGACCATGGAAGGCTGCCTGGAAGCAGTGGCGTGGTTTTAACGTCAGTCTGATGTGGAGTTTGGAAGCCCTGGGATTGGCATGGGGAGGGGCTCAGCTTGTGTCATCATTCTGCCACATCTCATCAACATGGGCCTTTTAGGAGAGGGGAAAGGATCATCGCAGCAATGGTTCTGAATTGAGGAAATGGGCAAATGAGGGTGGGGGACTGGAAGCTTCCCTTATGTGGAAGCATCCGCCGCCCTCATGGGATGCCCTCTGCAGCTGCTCTGGAAAGAAGTGCTCCAGGCCCCAGCGAGGGGTTGTCCCAGAGAGAAAGAGGCAGCAGCTACCTCTAGCGGCTGCTCAGGGAGAAGAGCCCAGCTAGGCATCCTCAGGCCTCACAGCCCTGATCTTAGGGTTCCCCCGACCCTCACTGGCTCTTGTTCTGCTTCTCCTCCAGCCCTCACTGTCTCGGGAAAGGAAAAGCAGAGAGGTGTCCCTCTCTTAGTGCTTGGTCAAGAAGTGTGGCTTTATTACATGGGCGGTGTAGTTGGCTCCTGAAGCACAGGCGTGCCTGCTCTTGCTGTCCTCCTGGAGTGCTGAGGAATGCTGTTTGACCTTGGTGGTGATATTGATCAATAATCCTCCACAAGCACAGTGCAGCGACTGCCAAATGCTTAGTCACCAGGAAGTGTCCATCAGCCCACAGCCCGTGTCTGTGCATGCTTAGCACCTGTCCTATCTGGGGAAGGAGTATCCTTTATTCTTCAAATGGTGTCCTTCCTACTATATTGTGGTTAAATCAGGTCCTTCTGACTGTGTCGCTGTTATGACATGGTGCTGTTAGTAGACAGTGGCTTGTCTGCTTGCATTTTTTTTATAACACCCTTTCTTGGCAAAAGAATAAATGGGTAGCAATCCATGTCGGTCCCCCATGTTTATGGGGCATGTGCACTGATCAGAAGTCTGGAGGTCACAGGTGTGGTACCTGTGATCAGACTGGCCTGGATTTGAATCCTCCCCTGGTTCTCTCAAGTGGACCCCTTGGCAAGACATATGACTATTCTGAGCTTCCATTTCCTCTCTATAAAATGAAAATAATTTGAGTCCATAAATATCCATTGAGTTGTCAGGCTAGAGCTGGAGACACAGCCCTCAGAGCACTTGAGGTCAGTAGAGTGAGACATCCATAAGTGACTGTCCCGGAGTGACATGAGTGCTGTGGGGGGTGTGATTAAGATGACAAGGTGACTCCCAGACAGCTGGTAGTGAGGATGAGTGAGGATGCCTGCTGGGAGAAGTGACATGTCAGAAAGTTTGGAAGGTAATTCACAGTTTGCAGGTGGAGATGGTAGGCCATGGTGGGTGTAAGCCGGAGGGGAAGAAGGGCAGAGAGAAGGCCAAGGCCAGAGACCCAGGCATGAGTTCCTGGGGCTTATAGGAGACACCTACTGTAGGTCATGTTGGCAAGAAGACACCTGGCGTGGAGGAATGTCAGAGCACGGGGACATAGTTAGTGATGAAGCCAGCAAGGCCACCAAGGCCTCGTGAACCCCGACTAGGAGTGCAGATGCCATACCACAGGCCCACGCCTTCCAGATGGTGCTGCTAGGCTGCCCGAGGTGCTCAGGAGCTCACCCAGGACCTTGAAACCCAACAGGGCACAACTTTCTGCAGTGTCTTTGTTACTTAGAAATTTGCAGGAGAAACGTTCACATAAAAACAAACACACTTAACTAGGGCATAGAATGTAAAATTCACATCAATTCTTAAGATGAAACAGAAGTTTACAAATACAGATTTTGAGGTCAAAGAAAAGTTTTCAGAGGCATTTCCTATAAGGAACTTGCCTTCCTTCCCAGGGAGATTGTGGGCTCATTTGCTCCAGCCCAGGGTGTTTTGAGAGGAGAATGTGGGAGGCGCTTCTATAATAAGGAGTGAGCCCCCAGCTGGGGTGGAAAGAGCTGGGCCTCTGAAGTCGGAACGATCTGGCTTTATACTCAGCTCTACCTCTCATTGTGTGTCCCTGAGCAAGTCATGAAGCCTCTCTAAGCCACCACTTCCCTAACTTTAAAGTACAGATAATAATATCTTCCCTATGAGGTTACTGTGAGGGTTAAATAAAATGCTATTGTAGTGCAGAGAGGGCATTACATGCTGTTTTAAAATGGAGCTGCATCATAGGGTTTTCAGCAAGGGAGCTTCGTGCTGCCGAGAGGATGAGCGCCATGGGTGATGATGAAGAGGCTACTGCAATAGTCCAGGTGTGAGAGGATAGAGCTGGCAAGGTGAGGGTGAATTAAAGAGACTTTGGAGGTAGAAACATCAGGAGCTGATGATGATCAAATGCAGGGAGAAAGGAACAGGAGCAGTTTAGGCTGATGACCAGGTTTCTAGCTTGGCAAATGAAGGGACAATGGATTAGTGATTCCATGAGCCAAGCAATACGGGGAACAAAGGAGAAAGCAGGAGCTTCATGAGAGAAAGGGATAATGACGTCCATGTGAGCACATTGCATTCAAGGATCCTCGAGACACCAGGTGGAAACGTCTGAGTTCTGCAAGTGAGCCTTGTAGTAAAGAGAGCAATATGTGAGGCACCTGCTGAGAGCAGAGTAGGTGTTCAGTTAACATACTGAAAGAGACCGGAGTAGGTGTTAACATTGTGAAAGAAACCAGAGTAGGTGTTCAGCTAACATTCTGAAAGAAACCAGAGTAGGTGTTCGGTTAACATTGTGAAGGAAATCACAGTAGGTTTTCAATTAACATTGTGAAAGAAATCAGAGTAGGTGTTCAGTTAATATTCTGAAAGAGACCACAGTAGGAGTTCAGTTAACATTGTGAAAGAAACCAGAGTAGGTGTTCAGTTAACATTCTGAAGGAGACCACAGTAGGTGTTCAGCTAACATTCTGAAAGAAACCAGAGTAGGTGTTCAGTTAACATTGTGAAGGAAATCACAGTAGGTGTTCAGTTAACATTGTGAAAGAAACCAGAGTAGGTGTTCAGTTAATATTCTGAAAGAGACCACAGTAGGTGTTCAGTTAACATTGTGAAAGAAACCAGAGTAGGTGTTCAGTTAACATTCTGAAAGAGACCACAGTAGGAGTTCAGTTAACATTGTGAAAGAAACCAGAGTAGGTGTTCAGTTAACATTGTGAAAGAAATCACAGTAGGTGTTCAGTTAACATTGTGAAAGAAATCAGAGTAGGTGTTCAGTTAATTATCTGAAAGAGACCAGAGTAGGTGTTCAGTTAACATTCTGAAAGAGAACAGAGTAGGTGTTCAGTTAACATTCTGAAAGGAAAGGTAGATTACTTTAGTAACCAATTTAGCCACATTCAAGGATTAGGTATTTAGTTGTTCCAAAATATGACGAAGGATGCCCTAATAATTAAAGAAGAGATATCCACCAGCTTTGGAAGATATGGGGTGGTGAGGTTTTGCTCCAGAAAGTTAGCAATGCTGGCTGGGCATGGTGGCTCACACCTGTAATCCCAGCATTTTGGGATTACATCCGGCAAGGCAGATGGATTGTTTGAGCCCATGAGTTCCAGACCAGCCTGGGTGAAACCCCATCTCTACTAAAAATATAAAAAACTAGGTGGGCATGGTGGCACATGCCTGTAGTCCCAGCTACTTGGGAGGCTAAGGTGGGAGGATCACCTGAGCCCAGGAAGTCAGGCCATGGTGAGCCATGATTGTGCCACTGCACTCCAGCCTGGGCCACAGGAGTGAGACCCTGTCAAAGAAAGGAAGAAAGGGGAAGGGGAAGCGGAGGAGGTGAAGGGGAAGGGGGAGGGGAAGGGGAGGAAAGGGGAGGGAAAGGGGGAGGGGAAGGGGAGGGAGGGGGAGGGGAAGGAAAAATTAGCAATACCATCCCTGCTGGGGCTTTTCAGGCCCAGCTCCAGTAGCATGAGATATTGCCTAGAGGCCCAGTTCTTTTGGGGTTAATTGGAAAAAGACAGAATCACCACATCCAGTGGAGGGAAGTGGGCTGGCTGGCAGCTGCTCAGTGAATCACAGCAGCTTTACATGGTCCTCAGGATGCAGGACTTAAGGCAAGGCCACTGAGGTGGCCAGACTGGGGGAACAGAGACAGACTCCCACAGTCACACCCCCACTGAAATGCTGCAAGCATTGGAATAGTGTTGTATTACTTGTACAGTTAGATTCACAAGTTGTCAAGAGGCCTGGGGCCTGGAGAACAGAATGACATAGAAACCTAATTATGGCCTGGAGGTTTTGCAGGAAATCTGAGGAACAAGATGCTGCCATTGTCAAGTGAAAATGATGTCATTAACGGAAAGAGCTCAGCGATGACTTGCACCCGGGGAGGGTGCAGATGTCATTAGGGCAACACTAGCATGAAAACCTCAGGCTTTGCCCATGCAACAAATGAGGACATTTCTCACACCTACCCCAGATGGTGCTCACTCTGCTAGTCCCAAGATCCTACCAGGGTGGGGGGTGAGAGATGGGGGATCCCCAAGAAACCAACTCCGTGACGAAGGGCTGGACCCAGGTTCAGCACCACAAGCTCTGTGCCATCGGGGTACATTACTGCTCAGTCTGGGGGTGGCAGTGAGTGATGGGGTGTCAGAGGATCTTCTTATGTATTTGGGGGCACCACCATCATCAAGGTGCAGGAGGCAAGGCTGGACACCACCTCCTGAGGTCTAGGGTCATGAGCATTAAGGATTTGGTGGATATTCACCAGCTGGGTGTCTGGCCTGAGCCTGGGAACTGCCGGGGAGATAAAATCAGAGACAAGGAGGCAGCACCCCTGTCCCTGGAAGTTGCCCCCTGAGAAGGACACTTGAGATGGACTGCCAGGGACAATTTTGCGTGATACACAGGATGCTCTGCCCCTGCTCAGGTCCATGCCAATGTAGCACAAACCCCTTCCACGTAGAGTGAATGCTCATCACTCACCCCGAGGCCCACAGTACTGGCTGTGGGAGGAACATGAACGCGATTGAGCTCTGTGACTAGCAGAGGCCATAGCAGCGTGAAGAGATGGGATCCCTTGAAGAAGAAAGTCTTCAGCCTGAGGAACCCATCTGCTTAAAGAAGGGCCCCCTCCTCCATACCACCCCAACCCCTGAACTGGGGAGGGGGGGCAGGCTCTTGGTGAGAAGTGGAGCCAGCTGGAAAGGCAGAAGCTTGGCAGACCGAGAAGGGGCTTCCTCTGGACCCTTGTTGGGACAAGAGAGACTGGAGAAGCAAAAGGGCCCGGGAGAAACATTGAGTCCATTTTAGGGAGGGCTGCCTGGATGTGGCCAGGACAGAGGACCGACTGGGCTTTTCTAGGCATGAGTAGGGGAGGCTGAGAGGTGGACAGGATGAAAAGGAGGTTGGGGGTATTGGGATATTTGCAGGAAGAGGTCTCCAGGAGAAATGAGGAGTGGCCGTCACCTCTCTGCCTAAGCCCAAATGACACCTCAGCTGTCCCCTCTGGAGAATGGAAAGTTATAGGACATGGCTGGAGGTCAGGAGACTTGGGCCGCTAATTCAGACACTGACCTGCTCTGGGCTCCTGGGAAGAGGCTGGAGGGGAGACACAGGGAAGAAGGAGGGTGGGGAACACCAGTGGCTTCCCTGTCTGGGCCTCAGTTTCCCAGAAGTATAATGGGGAGGAAACAAGAGCCCAGGCTCTGAGGCCCACTAAGAAATGAAGGGCGGGCGGTGCACTCTGTATCTCAGGACATGAATGCCGGCCTCTCTTTCCTTCCCCAGTACCAGAGCATCTTAGAAAATCACCTCACAGAATCCATCAAGCTCTCGCCAGACCAGTCAAGGAGCAGATGCTGCTGACCTCCAGACGCCTGCTCTGGAAGCCCAGAAACAGAGCCTGCCCCGAGCCTGGTCACCCCAGGCTTGAGAACAGGTGACCATCCCCCTCCAGCCCCACTGCCTGCCCAAGCACAGTGCAGGGGGCCTAAGCTCTGCGGCAGAGCCCTTGACCCTGGTGCTGGGCCCAGAGTCAGAGGGCAGCCCCTGGCTCAGGCTGAGTATAGTGAGAGCGTCTGGATGAAGCCCGGAATGTCAGAGCCAAACCCTGGTCCTGCAGAAGTCACCGTTTCCGCAGTGGCTCCAGCTTTCCCCACCCATCCACCCCTCAAACACTCCCGCTCCAGAACACACATCTCCGCAGACCGGCCACTGATTGGAGTCTGGTTACATCCTCCTGTGGACAGACCTTCCTCACCCGCTCCCACCTCACACCCCTCAGCCACAAGCAAAGCTTTGGACAATGGCACAGCTCAGCCTCCTTCAACGAGCAGACTAAGGAGTAAAGGTCTGGACCCCACATGCTGGGCCCGCCTCAGCTCCTGGCAGAAGCTGTCGTGCCTGAGACCCCCTCTGCTCCCTCCAGGGTAGAAGACTGAGGGAGCACAGGAGAAGCCACAAGGGACCATGGCTCATTCCTCCTTGCTGGGTGCTCAGGCAACTCACATAAATCTCTGAGTCTCAATTTGTTTATCTGTCCTGTGGGGGTGAGATGTGCCTTGCCCCCTGTATCACAGTGTGGTTTTGAGGACCAGAAGCTGTGCTTAAATCCAGTAGCTGTTGTCAATATGCATTTATTTACTTCTTTGACAAGTTTATTTTTGCGTATCTACTATGTACGATGCATTGAAGTCCAGTGACAAACAAAACACAGGGACTCTGCCCTCCTGGAGCCGACATCTGGTGAGGGAGAGACGCAGACTCTAGACAGATATTTCCAAATAGCAGGTAAGTGCTATAAACAAAGGGAAACAGGGTAATGGGATAGAGTGACAGGGGGTGGGATGAGTTGCTATTTTAGATGAAGTGGTCCAGGAGGGCTTCCCTGAGGAGGTGGCATTTGGTCTGAGGGCTAGAGAATGAGAAAGCAGCTGTCACCTGAGAGCTGGAGAAAGAACATTCCAGGGAGAGGGAGCATCAAGACCCAAAGCCCTGAGGCAAAAACAAGCTTGCCATGTTCCAGGAACAGTGAAAGGACATCCATTGACCTAATACTCAAAGCTGCTGTCCCAAAGACAAAGCAAAGGGGACCCAGCTCCCTTGGGTGGCTCCTAGATGCTCTGCTGCCTGACCACCAGAGGGCAGCAGTGCTCCTTCTCTTCCAGGCTGAGCAGAAAGTGGATGCTCATGAAGGTTTTAGGAGCTGGGGTTTTGTCCTTCAGATGCTCAAAGCTTGTTCATGGGCTTGGAGGCATGTTTAGCCCTTTGGGATTTGTAAGGCAGAGAATTCCAATTTCTTAAGCCTAGTAAGAAATGAGCAAAAACTTCAATATATATGACTCAGGCAAGAAATCAGCATCTGTGGCAAATACTAGAATGAAATGCAAGAAAGCTCACTGCAAGGAGTCTCCCTCCCTGCAGATTCCAAGGCTGGAATCTTTTTCTTCTGGCTCCAGGCAGCACAGACAGGGCCTAGCCTGGAGAGGGTGGACAAGATGTCCTCTCAGGGTCTTCAATGGCCAAGTCCATGCCCACTGCAGAATCTTTCTGTCTACCCGTAAGTATCCTTTCCTGAGTTCCAGGCAAAGCTGGGGATGTTAGCCTATGACTGTCATCTGACTTGGAAGGTACACCTAGGGGCCGGGGGGAGGTCAGCAGGGGAGTTTGGGAGCCACTTCTCCCCCCACGTGGCACTGGAGTGTGAACTGGCTCATTCTGGACACCAGCATGGAGCCAGCACGGGAACAGGGGGGCAGCCTAGAGCACAAGCTCTATCTGTGTCCTTCAGAGCTCCTGGGAAACATGATGCGCCCTCATGGGAATGGCATTTTGCATATCACACAGGCTGTCCTGGGAGTCAGGCAGACTGGATTGTCACGTGCGGTGTGCATGCAGCAGCTTGTGCACTGCAGTGGACCTGTGGACCATTTCTAAAGGTGCACAACAAATAATAAATGTGTCCTTCTTTGTTTTTATCTTTTGTGCGACTTAGATTTTATATTTTTAAAAATACATCTACGTGGTTCGATATGAAAAAGATACTAAAGGGCAGACAACTAAAAGTGAACTGAGACTGGCTACATAATTTACAGAACCCGGTGCAAAATGGAGATCCGGGTCTCTTGTTCAGACATTATTGAGTTTCAAGACAGCAACAACAGAGCCTACGATCAAGGATGGGCCCCACTGAGGGCAGGTCACTCATTCATGGAATCAATCCTTAGCAAACAATGAGTCTCAGACACACTGAAGCTAGAATGGAAAAGATTCTGAGTCTGCAAGAGGCAGAGCCACGCTCAGATTCAATAGGAGTTCCAAACCACACATTTTGCACCTTCTTCAGACTCAGGAGCCAGGACAGAATGTTCCAAATGCAGGGTGGGGATTGCAGGGGCTGAGAACCTGCAGCCTCTGTTCTGTCACAACCAGGGGACATCTCAACCCATCCCCCAGGCAGAGGAAACTGAGCCAACAATCAGGGCCACATAGAGGTCCTCCCTACGCACCACCCCCCATCCCACTCCCACCCTGCTCCCAAGTCTGGGACTGGCCCTCAGTGTCCACCCCAGCAGGTATAGGAATTGGCAGAGGGAGGCAGCATCTGGAGGCTGTGACTTCAGGCCGGGACAAGTGGCACCCACTGGAGCCTGGTTGGGGGTGTACAGGCAGCGCTTCTGGGGTCCTTCATCACCATCCCTGTAAAGAAGAGGGTCAGGATGAATAAGAGCACCCCATGCCCTGCACAGCCCCACTGCGAGGCACAGCTCCAGGCTGCCACTGAGCAACAGATAATCCAGGCCAGGGCTCTGGGTGGCACACGCCCTTGGGGCTTGGGAAAAAACAAAACCAAATCTTATCACCAAATAAACCTGGGCTGGGCCTGGGTGGGTGCCAAACCGCCCACGGGGATTTTGGGAAATGCTGACTGTTCCTGCCATTTGCTCCCACTCAGCAGAAGTCCCCAACCCTCACTGAGTGTTTGGTGGCCTGTCCTGTCCACCAGCCACAGGCAATGCCTCAAGCAGGTCCCTGCAAGGTCAGGCACCAGGCAGCACCCATGGCGTGGGAGTCCTGGGACCGCACAGTCCAATGGGGTCCACAAAACAGTCACGCCGGCAGTGACACCGGACTGGCTGAGAGGTGTGTGGCAGCCTAGCCGTGACAGTGGGCTGTGCGCACTCCGGGAGGCTCCCTAGGTGCGATGGGGATGGGCCAGGCTAGGCAGGAAGTTGAACTCCTGCAGAGGGTCAATGGCCCGTACCAAGATTGTGTACGTGTCTGAGGGTGGTGTGTGTTGTGTGTGGAGGGTGGGTGGTATGTGGTATGTGTGTGTCTTTGATGTGTCTGTGTGTGTGTGTGGTATGTGTATGGTGTGTGGTATGTGTGATGTATATGTTCTGTGTGTACAGTATGCTGTGCGTTTGCGGTGTGTGTGGTATGTGTGTATGATGTGTGTTTGTATGTGGTGTGTATTGGTGGGGTCTGTGAATGAGGGTGTGGGTGGGTGGGTGTAGGTGGCATGTGTGATGTGTGTGGTGTGATGTGTGTGGTGTGTATGTGGTGTGTGGGTATGTGCATGTGTGGTGTGTGTGGTGTGATGTGCATATGTATGTGGTGTGCATGTGTATGATGTGTGGTGTGTATGTATGTGTGCATGTGTGCTGTATGTACTGTGATGTGTATGTAAGTGGTGTGTAAGGTGTGTGTGTGCATGTGTGTAGTATGTGGCGTGTGCATGTGTGGTGTGTGTGGTATGTTTGTGGTGTGAGTGCTGTGTGTGGTATGTGTGATGTAATGTGTGTGTACGTTTCTGTTGTGTGTGAAGGGTGTGGGGGTAGTATGTGTGGTGTAATGTGTGTGTATGTGGTGTGTGGTGTGAGGTGTATGTATGTATGTGTGCACGTGTGTGTGGTATGTGGTGTGTGTATGTGTAGTGTGTTGTGTGTGTATAGTATGTGTGGTGTAATGTGTGTGTATGTGGTGTGCAGTGTGGTATGTGGTATGTCCATATGTGGTGTGGTGTGTAGGGGTGTGTGGGGTGTGTGTGTGGTATGTGTGGTGTAGTGTGTGTGTATGTGGTGTGTGCATGTGGAGTGTGTTGTGTGTGTGGTGTGGTGTGTGTATGTATGAGGTGTGGAGTGTCTGTGTATGTGCGTGTGTGTGCATGTGTGTGGTATGTGGTGTGTGCATATGATGTGTGTGTATGTGTGGTGTGTGTGGTGTATGTATGATGTGTGGTGTGCATGATGTCTGTGTTGTGTGTGAATGGTATGTTTGTGGTGTGTGGTGTTCGTCGTGTGGTGTGGGTGGGGTCTGTGTGTGTGAGTGTGGGTGGGTGTGGGTGGGTGTGCTGTGTTTGCATGTGTGGTGTGTGGTGTGTGTGTGGAGGGGTGTGTATGTGGTGTGTGGATACATGCATGTGTGGTGTGATGTGCCCATGTATGTGGTGTGCATGTGCATATGTGGTGTGGTGTATGTACGTTTGCATGTGTGGTGTAGTGTGATGTGTGTATGTATGTGATGTATGTGGTGTGGTGTGTGCCTGTGCGTAGTATGTGGTGTGTGTGATGTGTGTGTGGTATGTGTGGTGTAATGTGTGTGTGGTGTGGGGGATGTGTATGGAGGGTGTGTGGGTGTGTGGTGTAATGTGTGTGTGGTATGTGTGGTGTAATGTGTGTGTATGTGGTGTGTGGGGTGTATGTGTGCACATATGTGTGCGGTATATGGTGTGTGCATGTGTAGTGTGTATGGTGTAATATGTGTGTATGTGGTGTGTGTGTTTGTGCGTATATGTGTGCATATGTGTGTGGTGCGTAGTGTGGTGTGTGGGGTGTGTGTGGTATTTGTGTTGTAATGTGTGTGTGTGGTGTAGGGTGTGGTATGTTGTGTGTGCACGTGTGGTATGTTGTGTGGTGTGCAGTGTGAGGGGTGTGTGTGTATGAGAGGTGTAATTGTGTGTGTGGTGTGCGGTGTGGTATGTGGTGTGTGCATGTGTGGTGTGTGTGTGATGTAGTGTGTGTGTATGTGGTGTGAAGGGTGTATGCATGGTGTGAATGTTTGTGGTGTGTGGTGTGGTATGTAGTGTGTGTGTGTGGTGTAGTGTGTATGTGTGTATGTAGTGTGCAGTGTGAGGGGTTTGTGTGTATGTGTGGTATGATGTGTGTGTGGTGTGCGGTGCAGTATGTGGTGTGTGCAGGTGTGTGTATGTGTGTGGTGTAGTGTGTGTGGTGTGCAGTGAGGAGTGTGTATGTGTATGTGGTGTGTGATGTGGCGTGTACATGTGTGGTGTGTGTGGTGTAGTGTGTGTGTTTGTGGTGTGCAGTGTGAGGGGTGTGTGTATGCATGGTGTGATGTGTGTGTGTGGTGTGGTATGTGGTGTGTGCATGTGTGTTATGTGTGTGTGTATGTGTGGTGTGTGGTGTGGAATGTGGTGTGTGCATGTGTGGTGTGTGTGTTTTGTGTGTGTGGTGTGCGGTGTGAAATGTGGTGTGTGCATTTGTGGTGTTTGTGTGGAGTAGTGTGTGTGTGGTGTGCGGTGTGAAGGGTGTGTGTGTGTGCATGGTGTGCTGTGTGTGTGGTGTGCAGTGTGGTATGTGGGGTATGCATATGGTGTGTGTGTGTGGTGTGCGGTGTGGAATGTGGTGTGTGCATGTGTGGTGTAGTGTGTGTGTATGTGGTGTGTGGTGTGATGGGTGTGTGTATGCATGTTGTGTGTGTGTGATGTGCGGTGTGGTATATGGTGTGTGTATGTGTGTGGGGGTGTATGTGTGGGGAGTAGTGTAGTGTGTGTGTGTATGCGGTGTGCGGTGTGATGGGTGTGTGTGTATGCATGGTGTGATGTGTGTGTGTGGTGTGCGGTGTGGTATGCGGTGTGTGCATGTGGTGTGTGTGTGGTGTGTGTTGTGTGTGTGTGTGTGATGGGGTGGGGAGTGGGCTGAGAAGGCAGGAAGGCAGAGTGCCTGCTGGAGTACGGACACCATGGCTGAGGGGTAAGGTGGGGGCAGCACCGCAGCAGATGAAGGGATGGGTCTGGACAGCACCACTGCCCTGAGCCTTACTTGTATCAGAGTCTCAGAGGAGCCCAGGGACGGGGTCATTTGCCTCATTTTAGATGAGAGGACTGAGGCTTCCTCTCCCTCCCGGTCAAATCCAACCAAGTCCTGCCAACACCACCCTCATTATCTCTCGGTCCACCTATTTCCTCCAGGTAGCCTTCCCTGACCCCCAGACCGGGTTAGGGGCCCCACCATGTGCCCACCCCCTACTCTCCCTTATCACAGTGCTAGAGCATGAGCTCTGCTAGGACAGAAGCGCCACGGGGCAGGGATTTTCATGGGTTTTGTTTTCTGTCATCTCCCCTCTGCCAAGAGCAATGCTTGACAAGCAGTTGGTACTTCATATTTTTGGAATGAATAGCTCCTGCGATAGTTCATCATAATTGTTTGTCTATTTGCCCTTAGGCTGTAGTCTCCTTGAAGGCAGGACCTCTTTTGATTCATCATTTTGACCCCAGCACCCAGCAAAGAGATTGGTGCACAGTAAGTGAGAAATATTGGTGGAATAGAATAGAAAATTAACGCAGCTATTTAAAAAGAATAATGAAATGTTTATTATGATGATATGGACTAGACATCTAAGATACCTCTTTATGAGAAAAGGCAATGGTAGAATCATATGTATAGTATGCTATCTTTCCTGTAACAGGGGGCTTTAATAAGACTGTATATTCATATTTGCTCATAATTTTAAAAACTTGGCCAGGCACAGTGGCTCATGCCTGTAATCCCAGCATTTTGGCAGGCCAAGGCCAGTGGATCAGTTGAGCCCAAGAGTTTGAGACCAGCCTGGGCAATATGACAAAACCCCATGTCTACAAAAAGCAAAGCAAAACAAAAAATATAAAAAAGTAGCCAGGCCTGGTGGTGCTCACCTGTAGTCCCAGCTACTCAGGAGGTTGAGGCCGGAGGATGGCTTGAGCCCAGGAGTTCCAAGCTGCAGTGATCCGTGACTGCACCACTGCACTCCAGCCTGGGCAACAGAGTGAGACCCTGTAAGAAATAACACACACCAAAAACAAAACAAAACCCTATTCTAGAAGGACATACAACAAAAGTGATGACCTTCAATAAAAGGGAGCAGGCAAGTGGGAGTGAGTAGTGGGAACAAGACTTTCCCTCATATAGTTTTATACTTTGAACTTCCAGCTCTTTGAATGCATTACCCAATCAAAAATGTAAAAGAAGGACATAAATATTAGTAGAAGGCAAGGGAGTGAGAAGGAGGAAGAACAAGCAGGGAGAGGGGTGGAATCCCAGCCAGGATCTAGGTGCCTCCAGTCAGTCACATCACATGCCCTTGAATCCAAGGCTGACAAATTTAGATTCCGCTGCAAGAGAAGGACATGCATTAAAAATCCCACAAGCTCACATGCTCTGGCAAAGATGCCAAGTCTCGCAGGTCAGGTGAGATGGCCACGATTGTTCTTGGTTCTCCTGTGTCAGTTAGGAGGCCAGTTTTCTCCTGGGACGTTGGTCAATAACTGCAAGTGTTTCCAACCTCAGAGGCTCAGCTCTGGAGATAAACTATCAAGTCTGTGCACTGCTCCATGGATTACCATATTAAATTACCATTCTTAGGGCAGATGGTTCTCAAGGTTAATCTCGAGGTTTGCTAGGTAGTCAACACTTTGGAGCTCCCTTTCCTAAGCTCAACAGTGGCCCCTCAGAAGACTCTCCTCCAGCTTATAAGCTGTAAGGAAAATGGTACAACTACTTTGGAGCTGTCTTGAGTAAAAATATAGCACAAACAAGCCCTGCAACCCTACAAGCCCACCCCTGAACCCATATAACCCTGTCAGGTGCATCAGAAGACAAGATGAAGAATTTTCTTTGTAGCATTGTTTGTAATAGCAAAACAAAACAAAACAAAAAACCACAACTGAAAATGACCTAGACGTCCTTCTACAGGAAATTGGATACATAAAATATGACACAGTGTTCAAACAATGGAATTTCACAGCAGTGGAAATGAATAAACTGAAGCCACATATATCAGCTGGGTGAATCTCAGAAGCCTGTGGAAGATGCAAAGCAAGCTGCAGAAGACATCACAAAACACTGACATAAAGTTCAAAACAAAACAAAACTGAAGGGTTGTCTTCACACATGTTTATCAGAAACACATGGTTAAAACAACCAAAAACATAGCAAGGGAATGATGAAACTGGGATTTAGATAGCGGTCACCTTGGAGTGGGGGTGGTAGGAGAAACGGGGGAGTGCAGTAGGGGTGAGGCACACACTGTGACAGGCCTTGTTGGAAACGGTTTATTCCTTGATCACTGTCAGTCATTTCATTATCATACTTTCTATCTTAGCTGTGTGTTAACACATATTCTTTTTCTTTTTTTTTTATTCCCCGAGACAGAGTCTTGCTCTGTTGCCCAGGCTGGAGTGCAGTGGTGCGATCTCGGCTCACTGCAACCTCCACCTCCTGGGTTCAAGGGATTCTCCTGCCTCAGTCTCCCGAGTAGCTGGGATTACAGGCATGCGCCACCATACCTGGCTAAATTTTTTGTATTTTTAGTAGAGACGGGGTTTCACTACGTTGGCCAGGCTGGTCTCAAACTCCTGACCTCAGGTGTTCCACCTGCTTTGGCCTCCCAAAGTGCTGGGATTACAGGCGTGAGCCACCGTGCCCGGCCAACACATATTCTTTTTTATGACTCAAATATTCCAGCGTAAAGATCTAAACCATAGCCTGAGCTTGGAGTCAGGCAGGCCTGGGTATGAATACTGACTTTTCCATAGTCGAGTGACCTTGGGCATGTCATTTAGCCTCTGAGTCTCCCTTATCTCACCAGGATGATGATACTTCCCTCGAAGCACCCTACTTATGTATGAAACGTGCCCGGCACATGGTAGATACTCAATGCATTTTTTACAATCTATTTGTGAATTCGGGCATTTGGACTCTGGGATTCCCCATTGTAGGCTAAGGACACGATAAATGAGAGCTGAGTGAATAAATGAGTGAGCAAACAAAAGAATTCAAAAATTCTTTTACTACCTCTACATCTCCTCCTTTGAATGCCCTCTGGAACTTAAATCATCTGGTTAGCACTGGGGTCACTTAAAATAAAATTTAAAATCCAATTCTTACACCTACTTAAAGTCTCTGGAAGCAGGTAGTGGATGAGCTTAGCCCCATGAAGATTCTGCCTCCACCCTCCAAACTGGACAAAAGATCCCTTCGGGACGAACTCGCCGTGTCTTCCTGCCCCCACAGCACCTGGCACGTTCTGGGCCTACCCGCTGCTCCTCATGAAGGCAGCTGCTCGTTGGAAGGAAAGGCCACCAGTTGGCAGGTATCTCCCCAGACGTTTGCAGGCTTGGGTTGGTCCCTCTTGAATCTATAGGAGTTTCCCTTGACCTTAAAGTCCCTCAGCAACTTTGGTCTTATTTAGGACAGCCTATGATTAGAGGAAATTAAATGGATTTCCAAACCCTGAAAATAGGCCTTCTTTTAGGCCGTCTGAGAATCTCTGCTAGGCTCTGATTTCTTTCCCCCTTTGGCTTGTTTGTTTGTTTTCTTTCAGGCTAGATCTGGGGAATGAGATTACCTGCAGAATCATGGATAGAGAAGTATATTTGAAGTCAGACAATAAAGCCTCTGTTTGACCTTAAGCCAGACCTATCATTTCCAGCTTCATTCCACTTTCTCCTCTGTAAAATAGCAATAGTAATGATTTATTGCTTACTTCACAAGGATGCTGAAAAGATAAAATAAAGCCTTGAATATATTGGTGATTTTGAAACTATAAAGTTCTTTATAACCTGGTACAGAGAAAGAATACTGGATTTAGAGTCAAGATACCTAGTATTTTCTCTTTAAGTGTTGAGGCATATTATGTACCAGACATGTTCTGAGCACTTTATGAATGTTAACTCATGGTAGTTGTCACAATATTCTTATGAGCTAGGTGTTATATTATCATTCCCATTAGGCAGATGAGGAAAGTGGGGCGCAGAGAAGTTAAGTAACTTGTCCAAGTTGCACAGTTATTATGCGGCAAAGCTGAGATCCAAGCCCAAACAGCCCAGCTCCAGAAACTGGTCCCCTTAACTAGCTTTTCTCCCTCCTGCTTGAGAAGTTTGAGCCTAGCTCTGCCACTCACTAATTCTGTCCTTCATTCATTCATTCCACATACACTTACTGAGTGCTTACTATGTGCCAGTACTGTTCTAGGGGCTGGGCATGGAGCAGTGAACAAAACAGGCTGTCACAGAGCTTGCATTCCAGCAATTACACAAGGTGTCCAGAGGATTCAATGCTGTGGAAGATGAATAAAGCAGAGCGAGGGGCTACAGTGAGACCTTGAGCCCACGGTGTCTTCTCTTTGAACCTCTGCTCTCCTATTACACAATGTAGATACTGAGGCCTGCCCTGCCTCCTTTAAAGGTTTAGGGGGCAATCAAATGAACTATAGAGGTGCATATAGGATATAAACCGTAAAACTCTATTCTCGTGAAGAGGTTGTACATTCACTGCTCTTGCCTCTTTGTTCCTACGGTGCTTTGTTCATACCTCTAAGCTACAGTCACCCTTGTTTCATAATAGGCCAGGCAGGTCTCTGTGTCATCCAATAAACTAAATATTTGAGGGCAGGACCAGATCCTGGTACAGAGTAAGTGTGAAACAAAGGTATCATTATTCGTATTAATAATCACGATTTAATGAGTCCCTAATAGTGCCAATTACCACCAGACACTTATGTACAATGCTGAAATTAACCTTCAGTGTAGAAGTTATTATTATCCAGGTCCCAAGGGAGAAATGGAGGCCCAGAGAGCTGAGAAATCTGCCCATGGCCATTCACCAGTGAGCGAAAAAAACACAGTCAGAACAGGCTCCAAAATCCACCATCTGTCACGAACCCCCTACTCATCCACACTTGTCCAGTCAGCAAATCTGGCTTGAGCACCTACCATGCTCTTGGTGCTTTGCCAGGTACTGGAGACACAGAGATGGAGATAGCAGGTGAGTTCTCTGTCCATGTGAAAAATAGGACAAACAAGTTATCACGTAAATAAGGTGGGCACGGGTCTGATCCACAGGAAGGGACTACCTAGGCTGGGAGGTAGGGGAAGGCCTGTCTGAGGAAGGGACATCAGAGCTGAGCCCTGAGCAGTGACAAGGAGCTGGTAGACCTTCGAGACACCCGGGAGGAAGGGCTGAGGTGTGAACGAGTTGGGAAAGTTCTCTAAGCAGAAGGCGGCCTGTGCACCTGGAGAGTCCCAAGAAAGGGAGACAGAGGTAAGAGGTGCAGTGAGAGGAAGGTGCGTCCACACTATACAGGCCCTGACAGACCGGGACAGGCATGGAGGCAGCCACTGAAGCTTTCCAGGTAGTAGAGCGATGTGATCTGAGGTCTGTTTTGGAACAATTATGAATTATTGAAATAACATTAGAGCCTGCTAATAATTATTATAACAATGTTTTCCAAAAAACTTGTTTAGGAGACAAGAGAGAAGAGTGAAAAAGAAGGGGCTAGAGAAGGTAGAAGTAGGCTGGGAGCAGAAAAAGGTATTCAGCCAGCAAATGGCACTTGCAGGTGTTTCCCTTCAGCTTAGCTTCAGCTGAATCCAGCCTCCTTTATCTTTTTTTTTTTTTTTTTTTTTTTGAGACGGAGTCTCGCTCTGTCGCCCAGGCTGGAGTGCAGTGGCGGGATCTCGGCTCACTGCAAGCTCCGCCTCCCGGGTTCACGCCATTCTCCTGCCTCAGCCTCCCGAGTAGCTGGGACTACAGGCGCCCGCCACTACGCCCGGCTAATTTTTTGTATTTTTAGTAGAGACGGGGTTTCACCGTTTTAGCCGGGATGGTCTCGATCTCCTGACCTCGTGATCCGCCCGCCTCGGCCTCCCAAAGTGCTGGGATTACAGGCGTGAGCCACCGCGCCCGGCCGCCTCCTTTATCTTATACACAATCATAATTGGCTGTCAATGGAAATCACTAAGTAGACTTCCAGGCTTCTGTTATGAGAAGGATCAGTTTTCTTCCCCCTTCTCTTCCCACCCAAGGAAAGAGAAGGCCCATAACCTGGAAGAAGAGGGGCCCTTCGCAACTGCTTGGGGCAGGGTGTCTGTTGAGAGGCTCGGAGGATGCTTCTTAAGACAGTGTCTTGTCCTCGGGGGCAAGGCTTTTGATTTCTAGATGCAGGTCGGTCTCTGCCAAAATGTGGCCTGAGAGTCAGGCTTTCTGGGTGGCTTTGGCTGCCCTATGAGAAATGAACAGATAAACCACCCTCATCCCTGCTCCACTCCCACACATCTGTGAGTGGAAATTAGAGCCCACAGGGTGGGCTTAAGGAGAACATGCCAGACCTGAGGATCTTTGGGGCATCCTGGGTGGAATGGTGGAGGAGGGAGGTGGAATTGCCAGGACCTGGCAGAGACCTCAGCTGTCTACACTGCCCATTTTCACCTCCCCACCCCCTGCACCATGCTGCTACCCAGTCCACTTCTCCCTCCTGGAGAGGAGGCAGATCTGCGTCTTAGGAAGCTGACCAGAAGCAAAGGAAACAAAACTCAAAGAAAGAAGGAGCCTTTAGGCAACAAAAAGATTGAATTAAAAACTGTCTGAAAAACTGAGTAATTCTGCCCATGCGAATTACATTAAATTATGTAAATTTATGTAAATAATCACATTTCTCCCTCTTCTTTCCAAACCCATCATTTTGCACCCCTGGAGGTGTCTGAAAGTGAGGGATCCTGACCGAGCTCCTTGTGCTAACACAAAGCTTGAAGAGTTGAGTTTTCCAATCTCTCCCACTCCTGGGATTGCAATTTCTCCCTTGGGCTCTACTTCACTCCACTCTGACCACAAGAAAACCCCTTTCCCAACAGCCCTCCACCCCTCACAACTCCCTTGTGCTGGTGACTGGACAAGACATTTATGTAGCATATTTAGAGATGATGGGGCAGATTTGGAGGAGGGAGGAGCTGAAAATAGATGTCATGCAAATACAATCTCTTTATGCTAATGATATGCAAATATAACGTTTCCCTCTCCTTGGCCCCCTGGAGCCAAGAAATGACTTGTCTGTGTGCAGTGGACCAAAAAGAGGCCAGGAGAGAAAGCCAGAGGGAGGGAGAGGGGAGAGAGGCCTGAGAGCCCTGGCTGACCCCTACCCCCATTCCCACCCCCAGACACAAATGACCCCCAGTGAAGGAACAGCTGCCAAGACAGGCCAGGCCTGGAGAGAGCGGTGGCCCAGCCGTGGGGCTTGGGGTGCGTGGGGGTATGGGGAACATCACCTGTGCTCCCGAGCTTTCAGGACAGGTGCTGTCCCCCTTCACCCGCCCTCCTGTGGGGAGTGTCTCTCACTACCTCCCTCCACCTGTGTAGAGGTTGTCTCCCTGGGCGCTATTATCTCCTGCAGTTGCTCGTAAATGACAACACCCCCAGTGGCTGGCCTACCCAGCACTTGAACCCCTTCTGGCTGGGCTGCTTGCCGGAGGATTAGCTCCTCTTTAGAGAACCCACAATAGCCCTCCACATCCTTTGTGCTTCTGTTTGCAGCAAATATTGAAGCTCTCTCCTGAAACCCATTATAGGCCGCTGGGACAAAGGCTTTCCGCCGGTCTCCAGGACAGAGCCAATAGCAGGATGTTCCTCGCTACTGTACCTGCCGCCTCACCTGCTGCTTCTTCTCCAGTTACCCCCGGAAGGAGATGATCCACATTCAGATGAGGCATCTCTGTGCCAAGGCAGTGGACAGAGCAGATGCCATGATGCCCACACCATGGTTTGCCCATTGGAGGGGATGTGCCCATTGCCCATTGGGTGGGCGGGGGTCACAAGTAGTTGGGAGATGCAAAGATCAATGGCGAGGAAGCCTGGACTGGAGCTGAGTAAGCAGCAGCAGGTGTGCTGAGCTCCCCTGCAATCAGGGCTTCACGAATGCTGTTTGCTGTGCCCCAAACATCCCTCCTTCCCACTCCCTGCCTAATTTTCAGGGACCAGTTTTATTCATCTTTCAGGTCTCAGCCTAGACTTCACCTCATCATCTCCTCTAGGAAGCCATCCTTGCCTCCCAAATTGAGGTGTTCCTCCTCAGCACTCACATCTGGTATTTTAACGGCCTACTCACTTTCTGCTTTCCTCATCCCAGCCTCTGAGCTCTAGGCATTTTCGTGCCGAAAACCTCTGACACAACTCCTAAACATGGCAGATAAATATGACTGAATAAATGAATGACTGAATGAATTTAGCAAGTATGGGCTGTGCCTCATCCTGGAGTCCTCAGAATTCTGACTCAAGGGGTGTTAGGTCATGAAAGGCCCTGGGAGAAGGGTCGAGAATCTTTCATGGCCTTCCATATGGACACCTCAGTTTGGTGAAGGGCAGGCTGGGATGAAAGTCCACCAACCATGTGGCCTTGGGTGAGTCTCTGAACCAACCCAGGCCTCAGTCCCCTCATCTGGCAAATGGGAAGAACAGCATTGAAAGACGGAGCGGGAGAATGCTCTGAAAACAGCAAAGGGGTTGTGTGGAGCTGAGGTGTGTGAGCATGGTTATGTGGAGGGGATGTTACAGACCTCGGTTTGGGGCGAGAGAAGAAACAGAGGTGTTTTCTGGCAGGCAACCGTTGGCCACTCTGTAGCAAGCGCTGGGCGGCAGAGGACATGGGGGTCCTGTTTCCAGGCCTGAGGGAAGAGGTGGCATCTCTGGGCCCGGGAACTTCCAGCGGCAACCCTGGGGCCTGGGAGCCGCTGGCCACAATCCCCTGCCTGCCCTTCCTCTCTCCTGGTCACTGCCAGTAAGGAGCCTGGTCCAACAGTCCGGGAGCCGACTCCAACTCACTGCTGGGCAAGTTACTCATTTCCCCTCCCCTCAGTTTCCTCTTCTATAAAGTAGAAATAATAACAGTGCTACTGCATAGGGCTGCTAAGAAGATTAAATGAGATCCACTGTATAAAGTACTCAGCACCGCTCCCAGCACATAACAGGTGCTCAGTGAACCAGTCCATCATTCCCACCCGCCCCTTTACTCATCCTGTCTTGGTTCTGGGAATCACAGAAATCACCCTCCCATTTTACAGAGGGAGAATCCGGAGAGGTTCTGGAACTTACCAGAGGTCACCAGTGACTCAGGAATGGGAGTCAGACACAGACCTGGGGTGCCCGGGGTTCTACTCCCATTTCCCTGTGGTTTGGGGCTTGAAAGAATGAATCATTTGGGGCTTGAATCATTGCGCCATATGTACAAATCCAGGTCACCCTGAGAGGCTGCAGCAGAGGCTTCTCCTGCGCTCCTCTTACCCCCTTGGAAATGCTGGGCTATAGAAACCCTCAAAAAATAAATAGTGGGATGGCAGATATATTGAGAGACAGACGGCAAAGCAGAAACAATTCCCTGACCCCCACCAGGCTCTCCGAGAGGCACCTGAAGTGAGCTGAGGACCCCAGTGATGAAAAGAGGCATCTGAAAACCAGATGTCCAGCCGGGGAAAAGCAGGGCCGAGGCAGCTCCAGCAGCCACGGGGTTGAGGAGGGTTCCTTGCAGGCCTGGCAAGCCAGGCTGGGGCACCCGCTCTGAAATGGAGCTTTCCCCAGCAGGACGTCAGAGCTTGGGTGGCAGCCTGGGCTGCTCAGCATGGCTGTCTCACAGCCTTTTAGTCACATAGGAGGCTGCTGTGGAAGGGAGGTGACATCCTTGAGAGCTGGCTGCAGTTGGCCTTCTAGATATGTCCCTGCACAAAGTGAGAGGCAGTTGGCAGGGGAGGGGGCACCCACAGGAAGGAGAGTGACTCCACAGAAGGGCATCCAGCCTGCCAGGCACAACTTCCCACTCCCACCCAGGAACGCTGGCAGAGGCTTATCCCACCTCCCAATTCCCCTTGGGGATCCAAGCCATGCCAGGCTGTTTGAGCAAGAACCACACCTGTGTATGCCACCCAGGTATCTGCCTGTGGACAGGGACAAGAATAAGGCTTTCCAGACAGACAGGACACTCTCCCTGACCTTCAGCTCATGAAGGAGGAATCAGGTGTCCCTTGTTCATGGCTCTGTTCCCTGTACTGAGCAAGTGCCAGGCACATAGTAGACAATAAAACACCTTTGAGGAGCAACTGAATGAACTAACGAACTGTCCTCCAAAAACACCGGGCTGGGAGCGTCCACAGCTCCCTCCTGGACCCATATCAGTATCTCACAGGTCCCTTCCTCTCCTCTCACCTGAGTCCTTTCAGCTGTCATTTAATCTCCAGTTGCTTGGTCAAGACTCTAATAAATAAGCCTCTCCCAGTTCTTGGATGGTGATAAGGTGCCTCCTCAGCCTTTTTTGGAAGAAGTAATCCTAAAAATATCTTTCATCACTTCCTTCGCTCTCGCCTTGGCCCATCTCCAAGCCCTTCCTCAGATTTCCTCTTTGAACCTGAACCTCCGCGTTCCTGGTTGGCTCTGCCAGAGGGAGAGGGCTCTCGTGTGAAGAAGTCTGAGGTGGGGGTGGCATGGGAGTGGCTGACCAGGAGGTAAGAAAGCAATTTTCTGCTTCAAGGGCATCCAGCCAGGGGAATGCCTTCCCGCCTGTTTCTGAAACTCTGCTCATTCAACCAGTCTTATCTTACTGCCACCAACCCACACTCCCTCCTGGCATCCTGGGAGAGCAGTCTCTCCCCAGCCAGGGGATGGAGAGATGATCTCATGTGGTGGATCTAGGCTTTACTGTTCCTAAGAACTCCTGGGGGAGCTTGTGAGAATGTGGATTCCTGGGTTCCATTCCCCAACATTCAACCTGGAATGAGGTCCAGCCAGCCCATTCTTCACAAGCTCCCCAGAGGATGCTGACAGTCCAGGAACACTGCTCCCGGACCACCTTCCCAAAAGACCAAAGGTATTTGGTCTTTTGGTAGATGGATCCTGCAAGGAGGACAGATCCTGCCTACATCAGACAGGAGGCAGATGGAGAGGCAGGGTCAGGACCTTGGATCTGGCCACTGAAGAGAGTGAAACTCTCTCCCACCATCCCCCAGCTCTGGGCCCAGAACAGCAGGAAGCCAGAGGAGGGAGGGGTAGGAAAGTCCCAGAGAAGAAAAGAAATGACACAGCCTGGCCTGGCCCCAGCTTCTTCAGTGACACGATGTTTCACGTGGTCCCAGGCCCCAAACCAGCAAAGACTGGCTTTCTTGTTGATGAAGAAGTCTAGCTGCTGGATCAAGGGGGGAGAAGGGCAGGTGGTGGCTGACCTCCAGCCTGAGTGAGGATCTGTTAGCCTGTCCAGTTGCCCCTCTCATCTCTGCCTCCCTTTCTCAGGAGTCACTCCAGCCCTGAACTTGATAGCCCAGCTCAAGGCTCCTGAGCCTCCCCCAGCCCGAAGAAGAGCAGCAAACTCTCCCCTACTGCTTCTTCACCCCATCCAGGGGAGACTCCACCCCAGTCCTGTAGCCCTAACCTCTAGATTCAATCAGTCTCTGTGCAAGCCTGCTGCCTACCCACCCTCACCCCAGAGAAGCTCCTGGGAGTTCCAGACACCCTCGTATTCAGAACTTCAAGTGCAGAGTCCTGGGCTGGGGATTCTGGCTCTGCTGCTAACTAGGCCTGTGATCTGGGGCAGGCGACTGGCATTCCTGGGCCCCAGGATTTTCATTTATAAAGTGGGGCTCATAATCCCTGCCTCCCTATGAGGATGAATGAGACAAGCCATGTGGAGGCCCCTAGTATAAAACCCTCACTTTGAATAATCACTATGTTTCTACCATAAGTTCAGCTTTGAGACACCAGATAAAGGTGTCTTCAACCATTGTCCCCCCTCTGTGTGGTATCCGGTAGTCTCCAGAAGAGGAGTGCTTGATCGATCCAATGCCTGCTCTGTTGAATAGACACTGCCTACTCAGCCTCAGCCAGCCTGGCCTTGCCACTGGCCCTCGGACACCCAACTCTCAACCCCCCCACAACACACCCTCCCTCTAACATACCCAAATCATAAGCACCTTTCAAAGCCCAGCTCAACCCCAGCCCTCAAGAGCCCCTGCAGACTGCAGTGCTCAATGAGTACTCCCCACATCAGGGTCACCCATCAGTGTTCCCTCCCCAACTAGACCCCACACTGCCCAAAAGCAAAATCACATTCCAAAAAAGTCAAAAGACGCACAACACAAACTGTCCTCACATCTGTCCCTTGCTGGGGACTGGGAAGGAGCAGCATCAGGTAGTGTCACAGTCCCCAACACAGAAATCCAGGGTCAGGGGTGTTCCAGCTGGTGGCCTGCCAGTCTCCGTGTTCCCAGTTCTGACTGGCAGGGGCTATGGTGCGAGAGAGCTGGCCACTGGCAGAGCCTATTTTCTCACAACCAAATGATAGCCCAAGGACTTGGGGCACTTTGCAGAACATTTTACTTTTCAGAGCACTTCGAATGTGAGAGGCTGGAAGGGGCCTTCGGAACCATCTTGTCCAACACTCCTGGCTCCATGTTACAGATGAGGAAACAGCACAGATGCACCCATAGTCTCCTGGGCTGAGGGGCAGAGCTAAAGTCCAGGTTTCTAGAACCCTGATCTTACTTTGAACCGCCTGGGGTTGGGGGGAGGTAGAACAAACAGCTATGGAATTGACAGAGCCTCCAACGTTCACACTTAATTTAGTCTTCCTCCCTAACCTGTGACATAGGTATTACTGAGTGCATTCTAATTTTCCTGTTGCAGGAGGAGGCTCAGAGTGGTTATGGCACCTGCCTAAGGTCACACAGCAGGTACGTCTGGAGTTCTGCCTCTGGGAGCCAAGCATGCCAAGCTTTATTAGAGACCTGAGCTCTTAGTGTTTCACTGGGCTTGAGGAAAGGGCCTCTTTGCCTCCTAAGTGGGAGTGGGAGTGTAGCCACGGTGGGAGGTAGGAGGGAGCCTCACTTTATAAATTCTTATTCTCATTGCATCCTGAGAGGACTTCCCTCAAGGTTACACAGCTAGTGTAAGTTACTGGCAACTTTTGGGGCTCAGCAACATGGAGCTCTTCTGCTTTTGGGTGGTTGCCCCTCTCTGCAGCTCTCTACCTGTATATAAGAGCCCCATGGTGGGGACACCTGTGGTGACCCAGAACTTATTCACTCACTCACTCATTCAACAAATACCTGTTGAGCACCAACCATGTGCTAGGCAGTGTGCTAGACACTGAGGATGCTAAAGTGAATGGGACAGTCAGACAGAGCCAGAGGGGCTGGGGCACCTAGGGAGGGAACTGGGGTCCACCTTGGCCCCCACCTCTTGGCCACTAACCTATACTATATTCTAGTCGGGGAGACAGATGGTTAAACAGAGAGGAGTTGATCACTCATTGTGCTGGGTGCTATGACAGCGCTGTGCAAGGGGTCAAGGAGCCCAGGGGAAGGTACCTGTTCCAGGCTGGGGGACGACAGAAAGAGAAAGTTTGCTAAGTTCAGAAGGCTGTGCAGAAGTCAGCCTGGCAAAAGAGAAGAAAGGGCATTCCAGGAAGCAGGGCAGACAGTATGGTCAAAGGTGTGGGGAAACAAACAGCTTGGCACATTAAGCTGTTTGTACACACTTAAGAGAAAGATCTGAAAGGGTGTACACCCAACTGCTAAGGCGGATTATCTGAGGAAAATGAGATTATTTAGACGTGCTTTTTTATTTGCACACTACTATCTTGTTTGAATTTTTATAGTGGGCAAAAAATTACTTTCATAAGCAGAAAAATATATAACTAATAAAGAGCATTCTCTGTATGATGGAACTTTGAGAAGCGTGATGTTTGGGAACAGAAAATTGGAGGCGGTACTGCTGGGAGTGGAGGAGAAAAGCCAGAGAGCTGTCACAAGTCTCTGGACCCAGGGAAGCAGCAGGTTGACACCAGCCTCCAGGCAGTGGCCTGGGGTGTTCATTAATTGGGCGATTCCTTTCCTGGGAAGCTGCAGGGCAGACCCAGGGGGCTGGGGGGAGATGTCAGTCAGTTCAAACTGATGTCTTCTAGCTAAAGCTCCAGGGAGTAAGCAGATCTTTGGGGTTCTGGTTGCCCGCCGCCCGATCCCAAGCTAAAACTCTCATCTTCCTTTGGGCAGGAGTCATGCTAGAGTGAGGCTGAGAGGTGGTTCCCACCAGCAGCATCAGGGGTTTCTAACTGGGCTGTCTTTCTTGACCTCTGACTTTTTTCACCATCTCACTCTCCAGCCTGGACCTGGGCTGGACTGCTAAAGGACAAAATGCCTGAAGCTCTTTGAACAAGGTCATTTGCAAAAAAAAAAAAAAATCTTGACCTTTCAAATGAGTTTTTACAGACTTCCATCATTTTTCTTTTTTTTTTTTTTTTTTTTTTTTTTATTGAAAAAAAATTATATTTTGGAAGAACTCACTACATAAGGTGACAGAATTCCAAAATCAAATTACATGAAAATATACATCGCAATTTCTTTGTACAATAGGTGAGAAAAATCTGCAGTATAGAAGAATAGAGGCAGAGAAATATGAAGGACTAAGGAGAAGGGTATGAGAGTAAATAGGATTTGTAATAGCAAACCCAGAAGTTAAGTAGAAAGCCTGTAGCTGTGCATGCTTCATTTATCCAACCTTAATACCAGGCAACTGAAGAGGGAAAAGTCAGATTTGCTATTGTTTGGGGAAATTTTCAGTAAGTTGAATTAAGAACCATCTATTTTTAGTTCTCAGGGGTAATGACTGGGATCAAGAGCTCACAACGGCCAATAAATGTTATTGCTATATCCAATCCAAGAGGTGGGTGCAACTAGAATACAAAAAGGACAAAGCACCTAGTGATGACTCCTTCGGACTTCCATCATTTTTCTCTAGAAAATCCTCTATTTGTCCTTTGCCAGAGGAGGCAGAAATAACTAGCAAACTGTAACTCAGGTGTGTCATTCAAACACACACACATTTAGTTTCTTCTCCATTCAGTGTGTCCCATAGGAAATGGCTGCAATTTGAGGAGTGACAACACTATCCCCAATTCAGAATAACCTCTTCTTCACTGGTGCTTGGAATTTTGTTTTGGGGTTATCATCTTCATCCTAAAGCTTGTTTGTTCAGTCTCCCGCTTTTCTTTTTTTTTTTTTTTTTTCTTTTTTCCTACAGTGGATGCCGTGGAATGGTTAGGAGGGGTGATTTCCCAACCATTTAATGCAGGTTCGTTGGTGCATATTTTCATGCGTGGAAGTCACAGGCCGAGATGGTATTATCAGTTCCACTGCTTAATATGAGCTCAGTAAGGAAATACAGTGCCTGCGGACAAGCTAGGGGTTCTGGCTGATGTACATAACCAATACTTTCTTCTCACCTTGGGGACTGTGGAGAGTCTCCCCAAAAAAAGATTGGAAGAATCCAGTTGTTCAGAGGAAGAGGGGCTTGACTTGGGGCTGAGACCGAGACGCACATGGAGCCAGGCCCCAGTGTGACCATTTTGCTATTGGCTAGAAAAATGTAGAGCTGCACTCTCTGCCAGCTCAGGGCTGCCTTCTAGAGCCTCAAGAGGTTAGGAGCAGCTCTGGGAGACAGGGATGAGTCTTCTACAGTGACACTGCTGATAAAGATGATGGGCCTCATGGACGAGGTAGAAACAGTAGGCAGACAGAGGGACGTTTCAGAGAGTATCTGATTTTAAAAGTGATGATGTGGAAAATCATCAATTACCAATCAAAGTCATGTCATGTGTGCCAGAAAACACAGAACACATATTTGGGAGGCAAGTGGGGAAAGAAGGCAGGGTTGGGGGTAAGGCAGGGCTCCGCTGACCTAGCTGTGTGCTTGAAGCGGCTGAGGAGCTTTTACACAATGCTCACAACCAGGTCCCACCGAGGCACAGTCAACCTGAATTTCTTGGGATAAGGCCTAAGAATCTGTATTTTTAAAAACTCCTCCAGAAGGTTCTGAAATACAGCCAAGTCAGATAAACCTAACTGTGGTTAAGATGAAGATGGGGGCTGGAGGAACAACCACAGGGTTAGGGCAGGAGGGAGAAGGGAGCCTAGGTCTGGAAGGGAAGGACTGGAGGGAACAGGCTGGCAGCAGGTAGCTCTGTGCCCATTTCTGGTGGCCTCCTGACGCCAAGAGAGCCAGTGAAGAAAGAACCAGAACCCCTTCACTCTGAGTTGCTTCAGAAGCAAGCTTCCTGTGGCTCAGTCAGCCTCCCCAGGGGCAGAGGCCATTTGGGGAGGAGGAACACCCCCTCTTCCAACCAAAGCCCTGATAAAAGGAACAACTAGGGTTTCCCTTCGGGACCAGCAGGATGGACTAAGAGCAATTTTCTGGGTCCCTCAGGCCACATATACCATTTGTCATTTCCCATCAGTGCCTAAAATGCCTTTGCCAAAAGCTGTGCCTCTCCCGCTAAGCCATGCCATGGTGGGTCAGGGAACTCCAAGTGAAGGGAAAACTGTGACACAGAACCTAGGGCCTCGGTTTTACTCGAAGGTGGGGAGGGGAGAACTGCTTTCGTATCACAGATAAACTTGGGCATAGTGGGGAGTGGATGCCTCATCCACATGCACTTTGTTTAATTAAAGACAGGATCAGTTGGGCACAGTGGCTCACTTTGAGAGGCCGAGGGGAGCAGATCTCTTGAGCCCAGGAGTTCGAGATCAGCCCAGACAATTTAGTGAGACCCTGTATAAAGAAAGAGAAGAAAGAAGGAAAGAAAGAAAGGAAGGAAGAAAGGAAGGAAGAAAGGAAGGAAGGAAAGAAAAGGAAGGGAGAAAGAAAGAGAAAGAGAGAAAGAAAGGCAGTCTTGCTAGGTTGCCCAGGCTGGTCTCAAACTCCCAGCATCAAGTGATCCTCTCACCTCTGCCTCCTGTGTATCTGGGATTACAGGCATGAGCCACTGTACCCAGCTTACATGCACTTTTGAGGTAATATATAATTCTTCAATGACACATCTCCTGAAACTGTTCCAACCTCTCCTCTCCCTTTTCCTAATTTTTGTTATTTTGGGTCTTCTGGTTGCTGCCTTTGGGACTTTCAATATCTTTAAATAAATCTATCTATCTATCTATCTATCTATCTATCTATCTATCTATCTATTTTCCTTCCCTCCTTTCCTTCCTTCCTTTCTTCCTTCCTTCCTTTCTTCCTTCCTTCCTTTCTTCCTTCCTTGCTTCTTTTCTTCCTTCCTTCCTTTCCTTATTTCTTATTATTAATGCATCAGCTCTAGATAAAGCCTATCACCCCGCCTCTGGGAGGGATGTGGGAATCTATATCCTCTGCCCCTCCTCCAGGTTTCTGTGAGCCACAGCATTACTTTTATATCATCACAGTTTTAAGTCTTCTGCACTTTGTCTATGGGTTGTGTCTAAGAATGAAGCTGCGCCCACTGAGTGCCGCTGAGTTGCACCTTTGCGTTCCTGTGGAGACACAGCCACGGCTCCCTGTTCTTAGATGAGCCTCGGGGGAAGTCCAAGAGGCGCAGGGCTGCGGAGCCTATCGGGTCGCATTTGGAGACAAACCCAAGTCAATACCCTGTAGAGGCAACACCTCAGTGGAAGGCGGTACAGTTACAGTGTAACCGGGACTATCAGTCATCTAGTGTAAATGGCTGGGAGCAGATCCTTCTGGTTTTGTTAGGGAGGGGGAGGAGGGCATGAAGAAGGCAGAGCCCTATTGCCTGGAGTGGGAATAGCCCATGGGGCTGGGGGCAGGTGGTGCCCTAAAGAGCAGTTAGTAGCAGAAACAGGAGGCTGGGAACTGAAAAACAGCCCAGCTCACAGATGTCTCTTGGCTCAGCCCTGTTTATGTTCAGGTGATCAAGGACAAACAGTATGAGTGCTCTGGGGTGTTGACCATGCCCTTGTAAACACAGCTTCCCTAGACTTAATGAAGATTAGATTTGGGGACATGATTTTTGGTGGTTAAAAAAAAAAGAAAAGTCTGGCTTTTTATAAAGCAGACTCTTTGCCAAAGACTGCAGGAGTCATTATGCTGAGGGAAGAAACCTTCACCCAAGTACATATTGTATGATTTCATGTATATGGATGAAGTCATAGAACAGGCAAAACTAAATCTGGTAGAAAAAAAAACAATCAGAACAGTTGTCGCTTGGGGATGGGGCAGGGATTTATTGGGCATGGGGGAGCTTTCTGGAGTCATCCTCATGTTCCGCACCTTGATAAGGATTTGAGATGCACAGGTGTAGGCGTTTGTCAGAACTCATGTATGGCACATTGGAGAATTGTGCATTTCCTTGTATGTAAAACTTATCTCCATAGAAAAAAATAACTGTGACAAATATTGAACTTTGTTAATGATATGATGCTGAAGTATTGGCCTAAATGGCTACTGATGTCTGCACCGTGCTTTGAAATGCTTCCAAAAATACAAGGGATCGATGGATGGATAGAGGAATGGGTAGTTGGGTAGATATGTGTTCTGCAACACAGAACAAAATGTTAAGGGAAGACTCTAAGTGGTGGGTATACGATGTTCATCATAGAAGTCTTTCAACTTTTCTATATGTTGGAGAAAAATTTTTCATGATAAAATGTGGAGATAGGAAGAATTAGGGGCAGAGAATCATCCTACCTCCGTAGGACCCTCTCAGCTCCTCTCCCAAGGCCTTGGTTTGTTTGCTTTGGTGGAGCAGAGGCCAGCAGCTGTTCTGTAGCTCTCCTCCCTGGCTTCCTTCTCACACTATCCCCTGTGTTCATTTGCTTGGGCAGTCCCAATAACTGCTGTAGATGTCACTGGACCGCCAGACACATGGAAATCTGCATCTCACAGACCCCCCACCACTTCACTGTTCTGAGAGCCAAAGGGTCCTGCTTCCCAGGTAACCACTTGCCCAGCAGGCAAGTAGCCCCCCTTCTCTGTATTCAAAGCCAAGAATGCTCTTTCTCTCCCACTCCCAGGCATAGACATAAGCAAGGGGTATATTTCCTATGTGCCTCTTGCTTCATTCTTTCATTGCTTTTCTTTCTGCCTGGGCTTGAAGGCTTTCACCAGTAAGGTTTTACACATTATTCATCCAGCTACTTCTAGGCAAGTCCACTTGAACTGTCTCTACCAGCCCCACCCCCACCCCCTTCACCAGAGGATAAGCATTTTTTTTATGTTTATAGAAACTATCATACACCCTTCAGAATATTCCACACCATCCAGTCTCTGATCTAATACCCATACCCTGGGAAGCTTTCCTTTGTGTCTAACCTGAATCCTGCATGCTGCTTTTCTATAGAAGCTGAGGGGCCTGGGGCTTGGGGTCTGTGGTTCTTGATCTGGGTGTGCTCATGTCAGGTGTGCAGGGCTGTGTTTGTGTAATTGGTGGGGCAGCAAAATCAGGTGCACTAGGGTCAAACCAACCTTTCTTCCCTACTGGCCCTTTATCCTACACTCCACCCAGGCACCTGGTGTGGCTGGGCTACTTGAGGTGAAAGAGCAAGTCCCCACCCCACCCCCACCCCAGTCTCCCTGGGCTAAGGACTTGTCTCAGATGACACTTCTCCACCCAGAGGACAGCCTAGTGTGGTTCACCTTGGGTTAATCCATCTGGAAGCAGCAGCCCCAGGACACCTCTTCCTCCCCAAACCCCAACTTCCTCAGACAAATCTAAGCCCACAGAACAATTTACCTTACAGTCTTAGAGTAAGGGCAGGAATTGGAATAGGAACCAGGTATGTGACAACAACAAACTCTCTACTTGGTCTGGGAGAGGCCGGCATGTCTTTCACATTTACAGAAGAAGAAACTGAGACCTCAGTTGGTGAAATGTCTCCCCCAAAGTCAACACAATTCCCTCTTCTCGAAGCCATCCTCAATGTTCACAACTTCCTGAGTGTAAGTCACAAACCATCATTTTTCAGCCTGGCAGTGTATAGAAATAAGAGCACAAGGCTAGAAGTCAGGAACCCTGAGAGCTAACCCAAGCTTGGGCATATCCTAGGTGGGGGTAACGGATCCTCAGTCTCCACATATGCAAAATGGGGATAAATAGCTTCAGATAATGCATACTAAAGCACTCTATAAACTCTAAGTGCCCTACAAATGCAAGGAACTATTAAAGCACTATTTTTTCTTAACCTCGATTAGTAGCACAACTTCATCTATCACCTGCTTACTATAAGAGACAATAAGAGGGGCCTGGAAGTTACTAAACCCACAGGGTTCTTTCCTGATCCAAAAGACCTCCAATGCTTGCTTTCTCTTCTCACTCTAAGCAGGAGACAGAGGTGAGCCAAGCAGGAAGACTATGCCCTCATCCAATGAGGCTTAACTTATGCTGGGGCATTAATTACCAAGCTTCCATTGTTAAAGATGCACAGGGCTAGGTGACCTGGAAGACCCTATACTAGAATCCAGAGTCTGGGTAGGTCTGATGAGCTAGTGAATCAAAGGTCCTCCAGACCTCTATTTACAGGAAAGGAAGAGTCCCTGTGATCAAATCCCTTGGTGCAGAGAAGAACTCAGGAAATGGGCTTCTATGACCTCTTTCCCCAGCTAGGCCCTTGGGTTCCATCCAGCCCTTAGAGAGGGGGTTGGGGGGACGGTGCAGGACTACAGCAGAAGCAGAAAGAGCTGTTCTCACCAGGGACTTAATGAGACTCAGGACCCATGTGTGTGTTAAAGACTAATGTCCCATTATAAAGAGAACCTCAATACAGTAGATTACAGAATATAGGAGTTTTTCTCTTCTTGGGACACTAGTGAGTCTCAAAGTGAGCAGTCCTGGCTGCTGGCATTCTCAGCTTCCTGAGGTCATTCACAGGCCCAGGTTCCTTCCCCCTGTTGCTTTCCCACTTGCCAGGCCATTGTTATCATGCATAGTGAAATCTGGGTCCCCACCACATCTAGGCTCCAGCTGGCAGGAAGAGGAGAGGGCATGCAGGAAGCATGCCCAACAACTCAAGACCCAGACCTGTAAGTGGCCGGCCTCATTCTCCATTCCACAGTCCAGTGAAGACTCAGCCACATGGCCACACCTCATTACAAGGAAGGCTGGAAAGTAGAGTCCCACTTGGCCACCACGTGTCCTACCACAATGCAGTCTCTGACGGTGGATAGCTAGCAGTCTGCACCATAGCACCATCAGGGTTGGGACAACACAGTGTGACACAGATTGGAGAGATGCCACGACCCACACTTCTGCATGGTACATGATGTGGCAGCTGGTCATAGTGTGCCCTGAGATGCTGGGCCCTCAAGGGTTGGAGCTCCGGCACATGGCACCAGAGCAGGAGAGCAGAATTCTCAGGAGGGACCCTGTCTTCATGACCCATGGGCAAGAGACAGTAAGAACAAGTCTGGAGCAGAAGAGTCTACCCAGAGACACCCCAGAGACTCCCAAGCATAACCACGGCAAACTATAGCTGAGGAAGGACACGAGCTCTGAGTCAGAGGGAGGGGACACAAGCCAGCAAAATGTGGGTAAGTCGCAATCACATGAGCTCACCAGCTGGTGGGGTGTGGCTGCAACTGAAGCACATCTTTGGAACCCTTGGATCTCCAAAGAGCATAACTACAACCACAATAAATTATGGTTATTCTAATTGCCCAGGGGCAGGACTCAGGATGGGACGTTCAGTCAACAGGTAAGCACTCTTGTTAAAATGCTTAGTATGTTTTGGTCCGCAAAGGAGACAAAACAAGCAAACATCCCAAATCTTATGCTCCAGGAATGAAGCCTCCCATTAGAGCCAAATCCCTGACAACATGTGGTCAAGTATCTAACTGCAGTTACCACCTGAGAGTGCTGTGGGAGTGTGGGTACAACCAGAGCACACGGCAGTCATCAGGGAGATGTGGCTTTAGCTGAAGTGCTGAAGCCGAGGCAAGAAGGGAGAGCATTCCATCCAAGCTGGATGGGGAGAGGGCATAGAGAAAGGGCAGTGTTAGTGGGCTGGGCCCTCTGGGGCTGAGAAGTGTTAGACCTTGAGCTAAGTGCTTTTCATGCATTACTTTGTTTAATATTCCCAAAGTCACTCTGAGGTAGGTGCTGCTGGTACCCACATCTTGCAGATGAGGAGGCCAAGAGCTCAGGGAAGTTTATTAACTCACCCATAATCACACAGCTTGTTTCTGGGGGGGACAGAGCCAATCTCAGGACACTCCGGTTGCACACAGAGCCTGCACTCAGTCTCCTTGCCAGGGCCAGTGGGGGTGTCAGAACTTCTCAGGCAAACTTGCTCCTGCCCTTGGCAAACAGCCCCAGATGGTCACATCCCAGGCTGGCGAGTCCCTGCTGCCTCTGAGCTCCCTGCTCGGTGGAACAGCTCAAGTCCTGCCCGCAAGCTTGGCGTCCTGCCTGCCCCCGAAGATGTCTTCAGCAGGAATCACAGCCAATGAATGTACCAGCAGGACAAGACAAGCTAAATGCTCAAGAGGCTCCCAGGGAACAATGCGGCCCTCTGAGCAGGCCAGGCCAGAGCACAGTCCTGGAGGGCTGACAGGAATTAGCCCCAGCTGACCAAGAACCCACTCACTCGGTGACCTGTTTCCTGTACTCTGGGGGTGAAGGTACTTCTTGAGGGTTGGACCCCAGCGCCACTCAGCCAGCCTTTGTCACACCTACCTAGGGCCTGCCTGCTGTGCCGGGAGACCCAGAGAAATGGCCCCAGCTGAGGTCCCAGCAGGCCAGTCCCTGTTTTCCTCCTCTACCCTCACACTGGGCCCACTTTGCTCAGGGAATCCCATGCACAGTTCACACTTGACTCCAATCCCAGTTGGAGAGTGGAGTTTAGGCTGGTCAGGGCACCTGAGTGTGTCCCAGACTAAAGCCCTGGCTTGGTTCCAGTCTCCTTCCTAGGGTGGACATGCCCCTTCTCTAGGGCTGCAAGCCTATCCTTGACCCTGCTACCAGCTCCGCCTTAGCCCTCAGTGATCAGTTCTGGCAAGGTTGCTGGAAAGGGGGAGGGTAGAATCAGGGAACTAAGTACCCTGACCTTGGCAGGTAAAAAAACCCCACAGCAATAGGAGGTTTACTTTGCAGAGGGGTGCTGATAAATTTCTGGACTTGTCCCCCAAACTCTCATGGTAGACACATGCCCCTCCACACTCCCTTCCCTCCAATGTGAACTGGAGCAGCCCCTGCTACAAGACTCTGTTCTTGCAAAAGCTGCCTACACCTGTGGGTCTGGCTCTAGAGAGTCTGGTTTATTCCTTAGGCAGGAAAGCTCCAGGTAACTAGAAGGTGAGAGGGCTCAGCTGCATCCACGGCTAGGCAAAGGTCCACTGGTCACCAGGGAGCATGTGGAGGTGAGGAGGGAGGAAGAGGAAAGGTGTACTACATACACAGGTCCCCCTCTCTTTTAGAAAAGCATTCTCACTCTTGTTCAAAATTCACACTGCAGACACACATACACACATTCACTCACACCCTTTCCACTTGGCACCTTCCAAAAGGAGAAAAGGCAGAGGGGGCTGGGGCTCCAGGGCTCAGGTGCAGGTACTGCCACCATGGTTTTGCTCTGCTGGAGAAGCTTGGGTGGGGAGCCTTCTGGAACCCATTCTGCCACTTGGCTGCATCTCTGGGAGATTGTGAGGCAAGACCTGCAAACAGGAGCTCTGCACTCCTGGCTCCCTGGGACAAGGGAGCAAGGGCCATTCATTGTGCAGTTGAGAAGGGCCTCGCCTAGCTGGGGTATGGCTGAAGGGCTGATTACACTGCACTGTCAGAGAGATGATGGAGATAAGCAGATGGCCATGCCACTAGTGGTCATTCCTGGGCCCTGTCTTTGTGCCGGAAGGAAAGGAATTCACCTTACAACCGCACCTCCTTTTTTGCCACTCAGCCCCCTTCACAGATGAATAAATTGAGCCTGGGAGTTTAATACTTTGCCCCAGGTCTCATGACTAGCAAACCCCAGAGCTAAGATCTGAGGCTAAAGTTTTCTTTCTTCCAGTACATTCTGATGTCTCACAAGTGCTTGTGATACAGTCCCGGGCCTCAAGGAACCACTGGGAGACAAAACTAACCTAGAAGACCTAGAATACCTCACTTTCCGCCGGCAGTGTGGTTCAGACTGCACAGCTGTTGGCACTCAGAAAACAGAGGTCTGTGTGGTCAGGAGTCACCAGGGAGGAAGAGTCAGGTGGATTGGATCAGGTGGTGGGTATTAGGCACCTTCCAGTCTCAGACTCTTTCCTGGAGAATGTGGAATAGGAAGAGGGAGATGGGAAGGTATCATTTTCCTATGACTTTACTGCAGTCAGAAAAACCACCTCTGCCATAATACCCTCGCTGCCTAAGCCAGATCCTAGAGATAGGGTGAGGCCTGGTGCCCAAGATTCTCAATTCCATGCTTCTCCAGCTCTCTCAGTTCTCCCTGAATTGGGGGTCTACATCCCCTGCTTAGAAGCAGCCCCTACACCCAGGTTAATATGTGCTTGGCTTAAGGTCCCGGTGTCAGGATTGCAGCCAGGAGGCCCATCAGTCAACATTAACCACCTGGAACTCACCTCCTCCTTAGCTCTAGCCCCAGTCTCAGCATTCCCAGGGCAGTGTGAACTGCCCTGAACACCCTCACCCAGGCCAATTTCTGGTTCTGAGCAGAATCATTTCCTCTTTCTAGAAGCTGCAGGACCCGCCCACCTAGGAGTTGTATCCTCCTGGGCTCCCAAGCCCTGACACTGCAGACCTGCTTCCCCCACACCCCCAACCCCAACCCTAAACCACTCCTAAAGGAGTGCCGAGTTCAGATGGGCAGAACAGTCCCTCTGCAGCGGCAGCTGGCATATGCCCACCTCGGAGCCCAGGGTGTGTCTGGGTAATGACCGAATGGGGAGTGGGAGGAGGTCCCCACATGACTTCTTGCCCTCTTTGTGGAGAGAGGGCTCGGTTTGTGCTCCAGGGCCAGGGTGGAGGGATAGGATGGGGTCCTGAAGCAGGCACCGACCTGAGCCATCTCCTCAGCTCTGCCATTATCTCTCTCTCGGTGACTTTGGGCAGGTCCCTGGCCCCCTCATATGTAAAATGAGGGAGGTGAACCAGATGGACCCTAAGGCCCCTTCCTTGTCTCCCGTTCTATGGTTTGTGCCACGTCCTTTCCTCCGGCCTCAGATGTGCAGGGATCATGGTCAATGCTGACCTGACTGTCTCCAGACAAGAACTGTCCAGACCCTCGCCACCTCAGAGTCCACCCTAAGCTTCCTCCTAACATATTGTCCCCCAGCTCTGTCATTGTGTGTATTCTAGAAGCCTCCTCTGCCTGCTCCTGCCAGGGTCTTGATCTCCCAAGGACTGGTTCTCACTGGGTCTGGCGTGCCCAGTGCCTAGCACAGTGCTGGGCACATGCTAGGAGTTCCCTGTGTTGAAAGACCAAGCACTGGCTGGCATCACCCTACTCACCTTGCCTTCCATGTCTCCTGACCAGCCTAAGATACTCACAGCTGGGGTACTTGAGCCCCTGGGCTTCCCAGGGGAGAGAAGTGAGGATTCGCTTCTCCTTGGGTACCTCTGCAGTCCCACCAGTCCTCAAGCACTCATGAAACTGGCAGCCGCGCAGGGCCAGGCCAGATCCTGCCACTGCAGGGCAGGGTGGTGAAGACTTTGCTGTCTTTAGCCTTAAGGTATTTGCTTAAGTCATTGGGCTGCTCTGCCCAAAACATGTTTCTGCCCACACCCTTGGCACCCACACAGGGCACACGTGCAAGAAGCCAGCAGGTGCAGATAAGACCAGAGGCTCAAGGATAGACAGAGGTGGCAGAATTTGTCTCCTTTTTGCAGGTCTAGCCTGAGTTTGCTCATCTGAAAAATAGCTGTTTCTTAGCAAGATCAGCTCAGAGGTGAGATGTGTCAGGAGGGAACCTTAGGAATACTTTGGGTTTATCTGCATAACTCAGTGTTACGTGTGACTGTTCAGTGTGACTGTGTGTGTGTGTGGTCGCAAGCTTTGGATCACAGGGGAACACAGGGATGGGCTTTAAGGCAGAGAATCTTGGGTGCGTTCAGAAGTCAAAGAGGACTTGGGAACAAGCTGGAAATCCCTTCTAGAAACAGTGCTTTCAGGGGCAGCCGCCATCCTACTTCTTCCTGGGAGTCCTTCCCCACCTGGGGTCTATAGCTCAGGTGTCCAGGCTACAGCTGTGACTGAGCTTCCTGCCCTCCTCTTGTTGGAAGACTTCCCGGCTCCTTCTCTGTCCGCTGGAGGGCTGATCTGGGCACCTCTCCCCTGTACTCCCATAGCACCCTATGTTCCATGCTACAATGGTTTCTTCGCCTTCCTGTCTTCCTCACCAGATTGTGAGATATTTTCATGACAGAGATTGTGTCTGATTTATTTCATTTTCCCCAGGACAGGATCCTGGCACTTGATAAGGGGTTTCCAGTGAATGAATAAATGAATGAATGAATGCAGCATCCCACCCTAGGGCTGGGGGTGAAGTAGGTTGCTTCCGAAGGATTCTCTCTCCTGCTCCAGAGAGAGGCATAGGGTTGCTGTTCATCGCTTTCATCATGAAACACAAATGATTTAGCAAAACTCTAGGCTGAGCTGCTATGGCTGTTAATGTGTCCTTGGCTCCTTTCTCTGTTTCTGAGTCTTTGTCTCCATCATTTTTCTCTGTGTTTCTATTTCTGTCACCTATCTCTCCATATCTTTGTGTTCCCTCCACCAACCCTAAATTTGTCCACACTTTAATTCTACCCAAGATACCCCTAAGATGCCTTTTCAGCCATCGGGGCACTCCCCCTTCTGTCTTCTGTTTCCCTAGCCTCTGATCTGGTTTCCTCCTTCCTGGGCCTCCCACCAATGACCAGCCCCAGATTCTGAGGCCCCTGTCCATCTTCCTTGGTGACTTCAGAGGAATCTCTGGGTTCGTCTATCCCTACTGCCCCTATAATGCAAGGGCTACCTGCCCAGAATTTTGCTGAGACAGTAGAAAAGTTTTGAGGAGGACAAACAACAAGTTTCCAATTCCAGCATGTATCCTGGAGGCCCCAGACGTCTTCATCCAGGTTACATTAGGAGTTATACCAGCAAGGGAGCCTAATGGTATCTAAAAGGTATGGTCTTTTGTAGGATCTCATCCTTAGCTTCGCAGGCTCAAAGGTTAAGATGATATCGTAGACTAAGCAGAGGATTTGAAGCCATTTTAGCCAAGTTAGATTCCTGCCTCTTCCATTCAGATCTTTGTGATCTTGGATAAGTGATTTCACTTCAGTCAACTCAGTTTTCTCATCAAAAAATGACAGTAACATGCCTATATGTTTGGTATAAGAATTAAACCAAATCACCTGTGGGAAAACCAAGTGTTACTGTGGAAACTAGGTCAGACTCAGGGGATACTAACTCACATTAATAAAACTCACACTGGACCAATGGGTAGCCCAGAATGTCCATGGGTCATTTAAAAGAGAAGCATGCCTGCAAAAGCAGCCCTAGTCGCTCCAACCAGCTGGGCAGTGCATTCTCTGCCCTAAAGGACATACAACCAGAAGATTCCCTGGTGGACATGGTGTCTCAGCAAGGGGACTTAGTTGTTTGATCTTGATAGCCACTGTCACCTGGCTATCGGAAGAACATAATGACTCATCTGCTTTCTAGGAATTTCCTGGGCAAAGTTTAGAACAGGTCAGGCTACCCATGACACTGGACAATACTGAAGATGCATGGACAAATTCTCGCCCTCTGGCTTTGCTTTGTTTAAAGACTCTATCATACAATTGTTCATTCATTCCTCAAATCTATATTGAGCTCCTCCTAAGTGCCGGGCACTGGGCTAGGTGGGTAGGGATACAAAAGAGGCACTGCCCCCTTGCCCTCCTCAGGGAGTTCACGGTGTTTGCAGAAAGACTGACAATTCCATACATAATTACCATTAATTGTGGTCAGTGTTATGAGAGTGAAGCAGAGGAAGCCAGAGGAACGAATGTGCAACATGTCAGCTAAGTCCACATAGGGGTCTGGGGAAGGGCTCCCCGAGGCAGTGTCCATGCACACATCCTTCCCTCAGCCAGGTGTCAGGGCACACTTGGGTCACTTGAATTCTGGCTCTCTTCAGCCAGTTGTCTGGCTACACCCTGACAACTCTGAGTGACCTCGGGTGTTTCCCTAGTCCCCACAAGCAATGCATCTACAAACTATCCCTTGGGTTGGGCTTGCAGACAATTCACTCTTTCATTCATTTAACAAATATTTATTGAGTCCCTATTAAGTACTGAAGCTAGCTCATTTCACCATGGGGAACTTTCGCCCCAACTTCCAGAGGTGCCTTACTGAAGCCCCCTGCACTGATTCCAGCCCACTTCAGAGCCTCTGGTTTCTTTTGGAGAGATGGGAGGACAGTTGAGGACGAGGACAGTGCAGCACTTGATGTCTCAAAGAATGGGCACCTGGTGTCGGGTAGTGACTCTCCCTCCCAGGAAGTAAATTAAGAAACTCCCCTACCCACCCTCCCAGCCCCTGTCCACAATTGCTTTCTGAGGTCCTTCCGTAGCACTCAATGGGCCTGGGATGGGCAGCTCTGCTGGCAGCAGCCGGAGCAGTGCCATGACCCAGGGAGACATTAATTCCTAGAAGCGGCAGAGGGCTGTGACTGGAGATTTGCTAGCCTTCAGGTCGCCTCTCATATAATTGTTCTAAGTCCAGTTTCTTGAGCTCTTTTATCAGATTCTAAACCCCTGTGTTCTCTTTGCACACTACCTGAGGGGCCAGGAATAATTTCCCCCATTGCACTGATGGATAGACCAAGGCACAGAGCTCACAAGCAACTTAACATTGGGGACAGAACTGGGAACCAGGTCTCCACCACAAACCAAAACCGCCTAAAGGCTCCCAGGGCCTCCCAGACATGGTTCTTCCCCTTCCTCAGGGGTGTTCAGAGGACTACTGTCTTCCCACCCCCTAGATCTCCAATCTTCAAAGCAAGCATCCCCAAGAGCACACCCCTCAGGTGGCCTCAATAGCTCCCATTGTCCAAGAGGCTCTTTGGCCTGACCCCCAGCCCCATAAGCAGCAGGACAGCAAGCTCAGAGGAGCTTGTCCTGCCTTGTCCCCCTCCTCTGCCTCGTCCCCCTCCTCCAGGGCCGCCTTGGGGGAGCCGGTGGGGCAGGAGCCCCGCTGAATGTGACCTATTGTCTTCGGGGTGGATTTAGGAAGTGCCAAGCTCCCATCACACAGCCCTGCTCCCCAGGTAAAACAAAAAAAGGGCTGTTCATTTGGGACCTTTTCCCCCTTATCTCCTTTTCCTATCTCCTCAGGCTTAGCTATGGTGTAGTGTTCAAAACCACTTCCCCTCTGAGCCAATCAGAAGCCGGGGCTCACCCCGTGGCCCTGAGGAAAAGTTATTTATAAACGCCTCCCTGGATTATTTGAGCAGAGCCCTTTCACACACCTCAGGAACACCTTTCGGCTGCCCGCTCCCCAGACACACCTGCAGCCCTGCCCAGCCGGCTTTGCTCACCCACTGGTAAGCCCCACCCAGCCCAGCCCACCCCACTGGGCTGGGGTCATCCCTGCAAGAGGGCAGTCACCAGGGGTACCGAGAGGAGGGATGACAGGAACCAACTGCCAAGCTGAGCACAAGTAGGAAGGACACTCTGGCCCCTGGAGTCTGAGAGCAGCCTCCCAGCCCTTCCCCTCTGAGGAGCCCTTTGGGTCTTCACGTCTATGTAAGGACCTGGGCTGCAAGGCTGGGCTTGACTGAGGGAGCAAGTAGGGTGAGGGTGTGGTGGTCGCCAGACCCCGAAACAGAGCGAGGCAAAGGCCTCCGAGGGAAAGGAAAATGTTAGACCTTCCTCCGCGACAGCCTTTGAAGCTGTGGGCTGCTCCTCTCCCTTTCTTTTCAAGTCTTGGAGGGAAAAGCTCTTAATGCTTGACTCACCAGCCTACTCTGCATGGCTGTCTCCCCCTCCTTCTACCGCCCAGACATCCTCCTTCACTCATGTACTTCTCCACCAGCTCGGGGAACTTAGCATGGACTACACAGAATCCCATGTGTCCCCATTAGTCCTGAGAAGTTGGAAGAGGTGGAGGGGGAGGAAACTGAGGAGTGGGAGAGGGTGAGCAAGGGACCAGCTCCATCAGGCAGGCGGGTGGGCGGTAGCTGGACCTGGGACGCCCGACTCAATGGTGAATGCTTCAACACAGAAGGGCTTGGGCCAGGACAGTGGATGGGCAGCCAGCTCTCCAGGCTCTCAGCCTCCAAACCCCTCATCCTGCAGCTCCAAGGGGTTCCAAGCCACTCTCAGGCAGTGCCCCCATTCCTCAAAACCAGCCCAGAGGGTCCCCAGCTGAGACCTAACAAAGCTTCTATTATTCCAGCATCAACTGCCCCCTTACACTTGGCCCCACGGGTCTGAGGACCAGAAGACCCTGGAGTGACGCAGCCCCCCAAGTGGGCAGACTGAGAGAGGGCTTTCCCCCTGAGTGGCTTCACTCATGCAGATGACCCTTTCTCAGAACCCCACAGTCCTCCCCCACCTCCCTCATCCTGGCCCTGGCATCCAGAACCTGGCAAGACCCTGCTTGGGCAGCATGGAGACCAGCATGGCCAAGAGCACCTCCACTGCCAGGAAGGCCTTCCCAGGCACTTCCCAGAGCTAGCCACCTGCTCTCTGAGTCTCATTTGTATAAACCCTGGGGCAGAGACGGACTCCTCTTTATCTTTTAATGCCCAGAGTCTTCCGGAGATTGGCATATACCCAGTATTCAAGAGTGCCTCTTAAACCGTACTAAACAGCCAGACTGACCCCCGTGAACTTGCTGGGGGAATCGAGGACCAGCTCAACACTGACCAAGCTTTGGGGGCTGTGGGGTCACTACTTGGAAGATGGAAGGGGCAGAGCCACCCCTTCAAGGGGAGTTGATCTTCACTGGATGCCTCTCTGGGCTTTCGCCTGGATTTCTGGGACCAGAGCAGCTGGGCCCTTCACTGGTCTCCTTGCCCAGGCCCTGCTTCCAAGTGAAAGCAACCCCAGTCTCCTTAAAGACTTCTAGGAATTTAACCTCAAGTGCCCATTCCAGGGAGCCCATGACCTTGTCAGTCTTGCTGTTAGGAAGTGATTCTCAAAGTCTAGCCTTGGTCCCTCTTTCTGGAGCCTATTTCCTCAGCCCAGCACCCATTCCCAGCAGGGAAAGTGCAGAGGAGGGAGAGTTCGCCTGGAGATAAGGAGTGGGGATTTGGGGGGTGGTATCAGTGAATCTCTCTCCTACACGGGATGCAGTCTCTAAGACACCTTAGGGACATCTCATCCTCCCCTACACTGAGGAGGAAATTAGGCTGGGGTGAGGAGTAGGGAGAGATTTGCCCTGGAAACACAGGGACAGTAGAAGGAAAAGGAGTGTTTAAAAATGCCTTGGGGGGCTGGGCGCAGTGGCTCAGCCTGTAATCTCAGCACTTTGGGAGGCCAAGGAGGGCAGATCACTTGAGGTCAGGAGTTCGAGACCAGGCTGGCCAACATGGCGAAACCCCGTCTCTACTAAAAATATAAAAAATATTAGCTGGGTGTCATGGCGCGCACCAGTAATCCCAGCTCCTAGGGAGGCTGAGGCAGGAGAATTGCTTGAACCCAGGAAGTGCACCCTGTGGTGAGCCAAGATCGTGCCACTGCACTCCAGCCTGGGTGACAGAGGGAGACTCCACCTCAAAAAACAAAAACAAAAAAACAAAACAAACAAACAAAAAAGCCTTAGGGGTGCAGAGGCCTCTACATCCTTCCTCCTCCTGCCATGGATGTGGTCTCCCACTGAGACCCCAGCCAGCTTGTCTGTCCCAGCTCACATTCACACCTGGGTCACTCAGAGGCTGCTCTTACCCTGTGGCCCCCACCCTGGATGAGGCAGGGAGGCAACCAGCAGCTAGAGCAAAGGGGAAACCTCAAGGTGACCTTTCCTCTTCCCAGAACACAGCAACCGGCTGGCTAGGAACCAGTGATAAGGATGCCAGGGTGGGTTGGCCCAGCCGGGGCTGTTCCCGTACCTGGCACACATGCGTCAAAAACCCCCTCCCTCACATGCACACCCCCGACAGGACTGAGGGAGGAAGTCAGCCTGGCCCACAGTGACAGGATCACCTCCAGATCCAACCAAAACCCACAAATGGACCCCTCACAGTCCTGCTCTGCAGATGTTCTACCCTCTTCTGACAAGATTTTCTGCTGTTCCTCTCATCAAGTCCTGGGAAAATTTGGAGGGGTTAAGGCATGGGGCAGCAGGTATAGGGGCAGATGGAAAAAGGCAAGCCAAAAAAAGGCAGAGTGCCCACTAGAGATGGCAGAGCAAGAAAGAGGCTCCTCTGGAGTCATAGCAGTAATGATGATAGTTGGAGTTTATTGCATGCTTCCCATGGCCAGGTGCCGTTCCGAGCCTTTCAGTGCATCCACTCGGGCACTGTCTCTGCCTGAGCCCATCTCTGCCCAAGCCCATCTCTGCCTACAATATTTGGATGGTGTTGACAGAGACCTGGTTAGAAATGTGACTGGGAGAAGGTACCAGGGGCGTGCTTTGGCATGAGCTCATTGGAGGAGAAATCCTGGAGAATCTCAAGAGGGAATCTGCTCCAGCCTGTGCCCTCCCTGCAGGGTCTATTTTCTCTTTGCTTCCCCTCTCCCAGCTACTCCGGCTCGCACGACCCCTGCATCCCCTCTGCTCCAGATTTGACCCACTCTCCTGCCAGTGCATGGGAGTGGCCCATGCACCCACATCTCCTGCCCTCTGCTCTCCTGGCTCACCCCCTACTCCCCTTAAACCCTACAGACCCCCTCTAAGTCCCTCCAGCTCTTTAGGACCTGCCCCCCTTCCCTGCACAGTGGAGGAGGGGCAGGGTCACCCTTTTGTTTCTCAGTATTATCACATGGCACCTGCTATTTATCCCTGGCCCGGTAGGGGGATGGAAGGCAGTGGAGGGGTGGTGGGGGCAGGGCTTGTAGATACACGCCTCTGGCAATAGGGCACTTGACTTTTTTTTCCAGCGATGCTGACATCACTTATCATGGCTGTTTGTTTGTTTAACTGGGGATCAGATTGTTATGTTCCCTATACCTGGCTCTCTTTCTTGCTCCCTCTTCCACTTTCCTGCCCCTAATGTAGCATCTGGCATCGTGAGACACCCTCTCTGAGGATTCCCTGGGACTCCCATCCCTGCTAGTTCTCTGAGACTCCTCCTCCCCACCATGCCACCCACCCTTTTCCACCACTCCCATCCCCCTTCCCTCCACCTCTTGCCCTCACCTGAAGGGCTGGCTGGGGATGAAGTACCCTTGTCTTCTACGTCCCACCCCACCTCAACCCCTATTCTTGGAATTAGGAAGTATGTTGAGGGCGCCTTCTCAGCAGGAGCTGGGGCAGTTCCTGTGGCTGCAGATTTGCAACTCTGGCCATCATATTCTTGGGAAACCAAGGCCAGGAGGGAACCAGAGCCCTCAAGAGGAGTAACAGAACCCAGAGGTCCTGTCCCATCAGCTGGGGTGGCAAGGTCACCAGGGTGGTCAGAAAGGGGCATTCTGAGTGCCACTCAGGGGAAAACATTGTCCTGAGATCAGCTTTGTCCCTGGAAGGTCTGAAGCCCCTTCGAATAGGAACACTGGAGTTAAATCAAGTGCAGTTTCTTTATCTGCAAAATGAGACAATTGGACAAATGTGGTCCTCAAGTTCTCTTCTACACAAAACTTTCTGACTCTGACTGGCTGCTGGGTTCTCCTCTTTATGCAAACTCAGGATTGTGAAAGCTCCCAGAGCCTTCTCCCCTTCAGCATCCTATTCCTGGGATGGGCAGATGGCATGGGAAAGAGACAGATTTGGTATTCCAGTAAAGCAAGGGAGGCTTTTCCTCTGTTAGCCTGTGTCAGAGGGGACTCCCTAGTATCTGGTGCTCCATCTGTCAGTGAGTCTGCCCAGAGGGGCAGAGCTGGTCCTGAGTCACCTACCTGTTGCTCTCTGAAGGACTTCCACCACCCCTGCCGCTTTCCTCCCAAAGAAAAATGGCCAAAGCCAACACTAGTGTACAGGCTGGAGGGGTGCACATGGAGATCCTGGGAGAAAGAGAAATCCTTCAGGGTTTCAAGGTGGTCAGGAAAGGCTTCATAGGCAAGAAGGAGAAGGGAAAAGAGTGGGAGAGGAAGGAGAGGGTTGGAGGAGGAACTTCAACAGGTCTTAAGGATGGGCAGATCTAGAAAGGCAGAAATGAGTCAGGGCACCTCAGGTAAGGAGGAAAGTGGGAACAGAGACTCAGGCTTGTTTGGTGGGTGCAGAACAGACCAGCCCAGATGGTGTGGAGGGACCCAGCCAACAGATTTCCTGAATCCACCAATACAAGGCCAGAGGATAAAAAAACAAAAATGCCAAAATAAGGAGTTTGGGCCTCATCCTCCTGGAAATGAGGGAGATAGAGGTTTCGGAGCAGGGAGTTTAGGCTGGGTTGGAGGGGCATGGCTGGAGACCAGCAGATCAATTTTTGCAATAGTCCAAACATGAGATAAGACTTGAAGAGGGAGGCAATGGGACAGGGTGGGTGGAGGTATGGAGGCAATGGACAGGACAGAAGGACATGAAGGAAGGAAGGAAGGAAGCGAGGGAGGAAGGAAGGAAGGAAATAGCAATAGGATTTGATGAACAACTGAATATGGAGGCTGAGGGGTAGGGAGAGGACAGGAACAAGGATGGGGGTGGGCTGGGTGGCAGGAAGAAAGGTACCACTGAGGAAGTGGGGAAATCCTGGGGACGGGGGCTGGGATAGTAGGGTTCAGCGGAATCAGATGCTAATAACTCCCTTCCCCGCAAACACACTACCGGAACTTAGACCCTTTGAAAGCAGCCTAGGAACATACTTCAGGGATCGCTGCCTGCTGGTTGGTGTGGAAGCAAGATCACCCATCACCTCCTCTTCCAAAGGGCTCTTCTTTTCTGACTCAGCCCCCCTTGAAATTTTTGGCTATTTTTTTTTTTGCAAGTGGTCTGTTTAGTGGCCTGGGCTAGACTCCCCAAACCATGAGTCTTTTTCTGAAGCAAGGTCTGCAGCTCTGGGTTCCTATGTGGGGAGGTCATGCTCCCCACTCATTGAGCCCCCGCAGGCAAACCACCTGGACAGCCAGACCCATGCAGACTCTGGAGCAGGTGGAGAGGAAGAGTGAGACCACCCCGCCTCACGGGCGGTGAAGGGCCGGCAGCCTCTGAATAGTCTCTGCTAGGAGGTAGAAAGCACCCTCCCATCTTAATCATAGTAATCATCGCCACTACCATTTACTGGGTGCCTATAAAAGGCCAGCCTCTTCATACACATGATCTCACTGAATCCTCATAGCATCTGCCTGCGACTGTTATTATCCCCATTTACAGATGAAGAAACTGAATCTTTGAACCCAGGTCATCTGGCTCTCAAACTTGTGCTGTTTTCCCTAAGCCACCCGGTCTCTCATTTCTCCCACTGAAATGTCTCACATGCCATTGCCCTTACTCATTTCTGCCCATGTCTCCTCCAAAACACCATTTATCAATTCGCTCAACAAGTATGTGTTGAGTACACACTAAGGGCCAGGCGAGGGGCTGGGCACAGGCGCTGGGGGTAGGTTCATTCTCCCACCTTCGCTTCTGCTGGGTATCACCTGTGGGGTCTTGCCGGGCATCCCACCCTCACCTGTAGTTCAAGTGGACCTTGGGATCCCAAGACCAAATGAATGGAATGCACCAGCCCAGCCTTCACCAACTTGAGCACAATCTTATTCATAATAGAAACTCACATTTGCATCACACTTTACATTTTACACAACCCCTTCTTATCCATTAACTCATTTGATCTTCACAACAACCCTGTGAGATATGTCTGTTACTCCCACTTTAGTGATACAGAATCTGAGGTTTGAAAAGTAATGCTGACCATTCTGCCTCATTAATAAAAGCAGGATTAACCCAGGCTCCTGGACCCTTCCACAAAAGGCATTAAGCAACCTGCTCCCCTCTGACAACCTCCCCTGTCACCCAGGCTCTCCTCTGGGAAGTTGGGGGCATCTCTAGCCCCCAAGTAGTTACTCATTTTCAACCCCATCTCAAATCTTTTGCCAAACTGGCCACAGCCACCCCACACTCCCCACCTCCCAGATACAAATCCTCACTCTAAGCCTTCCCCATCTCTTTCTTCTCTGTCCTTCTTTCTCTGTGGTCCTCTGAGCAACTTCTCCCAGCTCTGGGAGGTAGAGGGGTGGTGGGAGACCCAGTAATTGGAAGAGGGAGGGGGAAAGGTTCCTACAGGGAACTCCTCCGGGCCTCAGGGGCCCTGGCACTCAGCTCTGCCCATCTCAGCTCCTGGAACGTCAGCCAGGTTGCGCAAAAAGTGAGGAGGAGAGGAGCGGCAGTACACAAGGGTGGGGGAAAGATTAGGCACAGGAAGCCGTGGGAGAGAGAGCCGGCAGGTGGACCATCCTGGTTTCCCCACACACACCATTGTCCCCCTGGGAAACCTGTTGGTGAAGTTCTAGATGTCTTATCCAAGAAGGGTCCTCTTGAGGTCATCTCAGCTATCCCCCTGCCTCTAGGCAAGCTGTTTTCTGTTTCTTCCAAGCTGACTGGCTGAATGGTAGGAGCCTTTCTGCCAGGGAAACTGAGGTCTGGGAAGGGAGTATGGCTTGTGGGGACACCAGGGGTCAGGGGAGGGGAGGGTCCACCTGCTGAATCAAGTGGGGCCTCCTGCCCTCGTGATTCCCCTTTGCCTGGTGCTCAGTGGGGGTGATGGTGACGCCACAGGTGTGGAGTGCCAGCCACGTGCTGAGCGCCAAGCAAAACAGCCAGGGTGAGTCTATGCATCATCAGTGCCTGGGAAGGAAGGCCACTGCGAGCAGGGAGTCTGACGGAAAAACTTGACAGAGGGAAGGGAGGCACCTTGCTTTATCGGGGCGGGGAAGGCCAGAATAAAACTCTGCTACTGCAAGGACCAGAGAGAGAAGGCCTGGGCTGGCACTAGGGAGGGATGTTCCCTCACCCTCCCCTCCTCTGCTTCTCCCAAAGCTTGTAAATGCCCCAGATATGAGCCAGCCCAGGCCCCGCTACGTGGTAGACAGAGCCGCATACTCCCTTACCCTCTTCGACGATGAGTTTGAGAAGAAGGACCGGACATACCCAGTGGGAGAGAAACTTCGCAATGCCTTCAGGTAACTGGTCCAGAGCCCAGACTTCTGCCTCCTCTGCTCCCTACCAAAATCCTTTCTGCACCAGGACACGGCTTCTGCACTGGTATCCCTAAGATGGGGTTAAGGGAAGCCCTGGGGAAGTGAGGTTCTGAATGATGAATTTAAGATCCTACAACCTCATCTGTACTGAGACCCCCAGGGAGGATGGGGAGCAGGAGCAAGAACCATCCAGAAGGGTTATATGGCATTCCCAAACCCCTGCATGGCATCTCCCATATTCTCAATTCACCCGGGTCTCTCTGGGTTTGTTAAGGCATGGTAGATGAGCATCTACGTTATGGAGGGGTGGGGAGCATCAGAGCCCTTACTCCATGCCCTGTTCCCTCCTTACAAAAAATACCTGAAGTTACCATCACCCCAGGTTCTTTGTCCTTTCCCTCCCGGATGTTCCTTCCTCCACTTGGTCCAGAGAATGCCAAAAGGAGGCCCTAAATTTCTGAACTTTCCTGAGGGGACCTACCAGGGTGTAGTCCTACCAGCGCCCAGGGTCTTTCCACTCTCATCTCCCTGGAAATGCGATGGTGGGTATGAAACCTTGTCCCTAAGTAGGCGCTACACAAGGTGATCCATACCCACACCCCAGGAGGCTGGGGCTGCGGGTGTCACCCTCCCCATTCCCAGACTCCTGGCAGACCTCCTCTGGCCCAGCTATAGGCCAACTCACTCTCCCTCACTCCCTTGGGGAAACGGCTGATTCAGTTACCTGGATTGAGGTCACTGGCAATGGCTGAAGTGGAGACGCAGGTGGAACTGGTTCAGGCCGGGGGAATCACCCACTTGAGTTTGTACTAAAAGCCCCAGCCCAGCCCTGTTTCTCTTGGGAGGCTCCATTTCTGCCCAGTTACAGTCTGTCCTCACAGCTGTGCTCCTCAGACAGGTGGTCTCTGCCAGTCTTTGTGCCCAAGACTTTAGGGCACAAAGTCTGAGGATGAGAAGATCTGCTATTGTCCTAAAAGATTAGGATAATGAAAGCTGTAAAGGGATATAGCAAACTAACAATTCCTATGATACTGGCATGAGAGCCTTGAACAGTGCCTGGCATAGAGAAGGTGCACCAATAAATATTTGTTTCATGAATGAATGAATGAATGAATGTCTAGAAAGCTAATCCCTCTCAGCCTCTGTTTCCAGTTCTTCTTTCAAGCTTCAGATTGCTTTGCCCAACATACAGCAGACTTGCAAGTAAGGTTGGGCATGGACTAGCCCTCAAATGAGTTGTTTTTCTTTCCCTAGCCAGCTCTCTATTCATAAGTCCGGCTTTCTCTGCCACAAACAGACCTGATGGAGCCCCTGCAGGGCTGGTTCTCTCTTCAAGCAAGGCTTTAGAGTTGCATTAAGCAATTTATCCCCCGTCCACCTCCCCTTCCAGCATCCCAGGGATGGCAGAGGCACCCATGAGCCCCAGAAAGGACAGGGGGTAAGATATTGATGATGATGCTTTTTCTTGGAGTGTTAGTTGGAAGAGAAAATCTGCCCAGACTTTCCAAGGTACAAAGCATTGTCTTTGTTGGTTTCAGTCTTGGGTGACATCCAGGGGACCGAGTGTCAGGGAAACTATTGTTGAGCAAGAGCAAAGAGCAGGAATTGGTGCTGGGCAGGAAAGGAAGCCTCATCAGAGCAGGCCAGTGAGTCACCAAATGGGCCCTAAGTATTTGAGTTCCCTCAACTGGGAGAAGGAAAGCAAATGCCCCTCACCCACTTCCAGTCATCAATCCACCGGCTGTCACCCTTGAGTTTGTAAGCCCTTGTTCCTACCGCTCCTGAGTTTCTATGAAAGGACCTTGAGGTGTTCAACAAACAGGGAAGGGATCAACTCTCCCCACCCTGCGTTGACCAATGAATTCTTCCCTCCTCTGCTGCCCAGTGAATTAACAGGAGAAAGAACTCCGGTATTGGAGTTACCACACATAAAGGATAGTGAGTCAGCAGAGTGCACCCTGCAGGAACAATAGAGCCTTCCTTTTCAAGGAAGTTCTAAGAAAAATGGCAGCAGGCAGGCCCCACTCGGGTGTATTCACTCATTCATTTATTCAACAAATATTTACTAAGTGCCCCTGTGCAAGGCTCGAGGTGTACAAAGATGAACAGGAGAGCTAGACTTCTTGCCATGCGTGGTGGGGTTTGCTGCCTAGTGGGAGAGACAGACAAAAAGCAAGGAATGCACACACAGGATGCACACACAGCGGCAGGAGCCAAGGTGCAGTTACCCAGGCCTGGGATCAGACAGACAGGACTCAGAGGAGACTTTCCCAGAGAAAAGCCATCTGAGCCAAGGGATGGATCTGATACCTCCGAAGGCTGAGCCACCATAACACTCATACCTTTAAGCCAAGTCTTATAAACTCCCCAGGTAAGCAGCTGGCAGTCAGAAGACCTCCAGCTAATGCCCAGGACAAGTTGATGAGCTCTCAAGAAAAAGTTCCTGCCTTTTCTTCTCAATATCCCTGGCACACAGTTCAGTGAATTTTGAATGAACCAATGAATGAAATGAGCAGGATATGATAATCCCTCTCCAACACGGAATGTCCAAGCCATGCAGAGCCGACTGGAAATTTTCCCCGTTCCCTTCCAGATGTTCCTCAGCCAAGATCAAAGCTGTGGTGTTTGGGCTGCTGCCTGTGCTCTCCTGGCTCCCCAAGTACAAGATTAAAGACTACATCATTCCTGACCTGCTCGGTGGACTCAGCGGGGGATCCATCCAGGTCCCACAAGGTGAAGGGGCTCCTTCAGCCAGGCCTGGATTGCCACTCCCCTCACCATTCCTCTCCTCATCCCCACTCCATCCCTCTGTGATCCCCATAAGCTAGTCATGCTGCTGAGCTTCAGTCTCGTTGTCCTCTGCAGGCATGGCATTTGCTCTGCTGGCCAACCTTCCTGCAGTCAATGGCCTCTACTCCTCCTTCTTCCCCCTCCTGACCTACTTCTTCCTGGGGGGTGTTCACCAGATGGTGCCAGGTAAGGCCTCTCCCCTCTGGGCAGGCAGGATGACCCAGACCCCAAGGATGGGAGGTGTGGCAAAGGGGCCTCGGGAGATTTTCCATCTGCATTCTCCTGGAGTTGTTCCTGGTCAGTCCTAGGGGAATGGTCACTGTGAATGTCATTTCCAGGTCCTCGGTGACCTTGGAGAAACCACTGAGCCTCTTTGAGTTCAGTTAGCATTACCTGTTCCATCTTCCTCCTAGGAATGAGAGGAAGACTTAGCAGAACAAGATATACCATATGCTATAACATGCTTAAACAGATGTGAGAAATCACCATCTAACTCCCTGGTTGGTCCCAGCCGGCCACTACAGGGACATTTGGACTTCTCTGGTGCTAAGTGAGATGGAGGAAAGCCTGGTCACAAGGGCTGGTTTCTGGTTCAGGCTCTGCTTATATTTCTTATTTCTGAGTTCATTTTCTCACGTGTCCTGTATGACAATATTGACCATTGGGGTAAAAGCACCTTGAAAAGCATAGATCATGGTTAGAGTGAGTGGTTGTTATTATTGTGTTGGAGAAGAGCCTTGGAGGTGCAGGGATCCATCCCCCTGGGGTCGGGAAGCATTCCTGGGCCCCTTTCTGGTTTCCATCGGTGTGGTTCAAACCTCTGATTTTTGCTGGCTGGGTGGGGCACCACAGGTACCTTTGCCGTTATCAGCATCCTGGTGGGTAACATCTGTCTGCAGCTGGCCCCAGAGTCGAAATTCCAGGTCTTCAACAATGCCACCAATGAGAGCTATGTGGACACAGCAGCCATGGAGGCTGAGAGGCTGCACGTGTCAGCTACGCTAGCCTGCCTCACCGCCATCATCCAGGTGAGGGGGCAGCCCCCAACCCTGCTAGAAGGGCATCAGACCACCCTGCCCCTCCCTCAAAGCCTTAGCTTTGATGCTAAATCTGATTTAGGGGGCTGGGTGTGGAGGCTCATGCCTGTAATCCCAGCACTTTGGGAGGCTGAGGAGGGTGGATCACTTGAGGTCAGGAGTTTGAGACCACCTTGACCAACGTGATGAAACCCCATCTCTACCAAAAATACAAAAATAATCCAGGCTTGGTAGTATGCGCCTGTAGTCCCACCTACTCAGGAGGCTGAGGCAGGAGAATCACTTGAATCCGGGAGGCAGAGGTTGCAGTGAGCCGAGATCGCGCCACTGCACTCCAGCCTGGGTGACAGAGCGAGACTCCGTCTCAAAAAAAAAAAAAAAAAAACCAAGTTAGGGCTCACCTCCTCCCTCCTCCCCATCCCAGGGCTAAAGTGAACCTTGAAAATTAACAGTATCTCCTCATCTGCATGTAGCACGACCATACAAAAAAACAACAGCTGTACCTGGTTAAACTGTCCTGAGCTTTAAACCTGTAAAAGACTCACAGCCTCTCTCCATTATCCCGTGGAGAAACCCAACTCTCTGCCAGCATAGTCTTGCAGACTGCTAATTTTCTCTAACATCCCTCACTCCTCTCCAGCCTCCTCTGCTCCAAGCCACAGCAGCAGTTGCACAACATAAATTGAGCTTCTGCAAATGGTTGCAAAGGATTCTGCTAGGTTTTATGAAGGGAAGCACAACATGACAGAATGCAAGAGCAAAACGCAGTCCCAGAGAGCGCCTTTTCATTCACTCATTCATTCGGTTTTGTGCCAAGAACTAGGCTAAACCCTGGGATACAAAGATAAGTAAGAAAGAGGTCCAATTCACAAGTTGCTCACAGCCCAGCAGAGGAAGGAGCCATGTCAACAGATAAATTTGTATGCAGTGAGATAAGCAGCAAAGTAGAGCCATGTACAAAGACTGTAGGGACACAGAGCAGAGTCACGGAGGACCTCAAAGAGGAGGTGACACTCCACCTCTCTTAAAGGATGAGAACTTAACCAGGAACAAGGTATACAGAGGATGGTCCAGGCAGAAGGAACAGTGCCTAAAAACACTGAGGCCTGAGAGAGTGTGATCTGCGCAGGCAAAGTAAGGGGCTTGGTGTGGCTGGAGGGTAGAGGGCCCAGAAGAGGATGGAAAAGTAGGCAGGAGCCAGACAATGAGATCTGGGGTCTGTTCTCTGAACAGCGACTTTGGGTCTGATTGGCAGTTTATAAGGATCGTTTGGGCTACACAATGATGAGTGGGAGGTGGATTAGAATCAAGGCAGGGGACCTGTTGGGAGACTCTGCAGAGGCCCAGGCAGGAATAATGCAGGCGAAGACCAGGTAGAGAAAGAGATGGGGCTGGACTTGAAAAGAATGTTTTACCAGGAGCTTGGTGATAGACTGGATGTGGGAGGTAAGGGAGGATGACTCTCAAGTTTTTGGTTGGGCAACCAGGTTAATGATGGTGTCATTTACTGAGAGAGAAAACACTGGGGGAGGACTAGACTTATTTTACAGATAAGCCAAAGCCAGAGAGGTGATGTGACAGAAAGGCCCATGCTCTAAAGGAGCTGAAGGTCTGATGGCAGCCATGTAGAGCACAGTGAAGGGCAGGTGAAGGTCACAGATGGTCCAATTCCCTCAAGCTACTGCTACGCTAGGACTGCACGGAGCTCCAGACCTGCGTGTGTGTGGGGCGGGTCGTTGGAACTGCTGAACCACATTGGTCTTCCGCCACCAACCACCCTTTTCCTCCTCTCAGATGGGTCTGGGCTTCATGCAGTTTGGCTTTGTGGCCATCTACCTCTCCGAGTCCTTCATCCGGGGCTTCATGACGGCCGCCGGCCTGCAGATCCTGATTTCGGTGCTCAAGTACATCTTCGGACTGACCATCCCCTCCTACACAGGCCCAGGGTCCATCGTCTTTGTGAGTCTGGGGATGCACCCCTGCCATTGGAGCAAGGCTCCAGCAGACACATGAGGAGGATGTACTGTTTTAAGATGTCGTGAGCTCCTCATTGCAAGGGCTGGCTTAGCTGTTGTTCAGAGAGGATTCTGAGGGGGTTTCTGTCTTGGGAGGGTCAAAGTCATGACTCACAGAGGTTCTTGGTAGTTAATCCCTGCAGAAAAGAGCTGTACATTCTCCGCCAGTTCCCCATTCTAGTGCCTCAACCCCTCCCTGCCTGGAAAGTCCTGCCTTATGTCTAATCTCCATCCCTCCTCCTTCAGCCCAAACTCTTCTAAAGAAAAAGAAAGCATTCCTTTTCTAGCACAAGTTCCCCATGTGCCTTTTGGGAAAGGGCGGTGGGCGACGGGACAGGGTTCCTGATCAGGGTTTTAATTCTGTCTTGGTGTGCCTCCATTAGCTTTGATGGCATCCCTTCCCTGGGTCAGACACCCAAAGGTGGGGTATTATGGGAAGAAGGGGTGGGAGCCTGTGAGCATGATGCTCTTTCCCCCAGACCTTCATTGACATTTGCAAAAACCTCCCCCACACCAACATCGCCTCGCTCATCTTCGCTCTCATCAGCGGTGCCTTCCTGGTGCTGGTGAAGGAGCTCAATGCTCGCTACATGCACAAGATTCGCTTCCCCATCCCTACAGAGATGATTGTGGTAAGGACCTTGTTCAGAGCTGGGATGTTGGGGGGCCAGGCTGTGAGACGAGGAAGCCCCTACCTTTCCTCACCCCATCCCCTCAACTGGCAGCCAGTGGGACAGGAAGTCAGTTGTGAATCCATCCCATCCCCCGTATGTGGCGTTTCCTCTCTTTCTACTGCTCTAATAATTCCCCCTAAGGAGGCAGGGGAGTGGGATTCAGGGTCCCCAGAGAAAAGGGAGACTTGAGAGAGACGCCTGCCCTGGCCCCACCTTAGGGCCAATCCCCATTCTCCACTCTGGGGTTTGCAGGTGGTGGTGGCAACAGCTATCTCCGGGGGCTGTAAGATGCCCAAAAAGTATCACATGCAGATCGTGGGAGAAATCCAACGCGGGTGAGTCCAGGTGGCCCAGAAGCCTGGCCCACCCGCACCTCATGCCCCACTAAGGCCTGAGCTCGGAGAGGGAGACAAGATGAACTCTATGAAAGTGCAGTCGAAACTGTATGACACTGACCATGTATGAATTATTACTATTACCGTTTCCTGAGAAGGGCCGCACAACCAGCCAATGTAGGCTATTTTATGAGAAATGAGTCTTAACTGCCACACTCCCCTTATAAATCTCATTCAACTGATGCTGTTAAACAAAGCCTCTCTGAACAGCCGCTTGCTGGCTCTTTGCCTTGCTCTAATGCATTGGTTCTTTGTCCATGTAGAAAGGGAACTATTAGGTTCAACCAGATTCATGAAGCATCCACTCTGTGCCAGGCACCATGCTGGGCCCTGGGAGGAGAGGGGTGACGCTTGTCCTGCAGGGTTGGAACAGGCAAGGGAGGGAAGACCACATAGCACCAAAGGTCTAGGGGTCTGTGGACTCGTGAGCATACAGGGTTCAGAATCTGGGAGTTAACAAACGAGGCCCTACCACATACTGGCCCGGGGACCTTGGGCAAGTTAGGTTCTCTCAGCCTCAGTTTCCTCCTTTGTAAAACAGGAGTGATGGTCCCTACCCTATGGGGTGGTGCTGAGGATTCAGACTGGATGGGATAACTTAGGCAAAGATCCCGGCACACCATGGGGGCCTGGCTGGTCCCTGTGGGCTGGTGAAGGACTTGGCTGCCCTCCCCACTCACACCCTTGGGTTCTGCCTCCTTCCTGGCTCCTCGGCAGGTTCCCCACCCCGGTGTCGCCTGTGGTCTCACAGTGGAAGGACATGATAGGCACAGCCTTCTCCCTAGCCATCGTGAGCTACGTCATCAACCTGGCTATGGGCCGGACCCTGGCCAACAAGCACGGCTACGACGTGGATTCGAACCAGGTAGCTCTGGCCACCCCCGGCAGGACTGGGCAGGACAGGTCAACTCAGGCCTGGCATGACATATCTTGGGTGGGGAGATCATTGGGCTGAGGTGAGGCAGGCTGCCTCGAGTGTGGGGGATAGGGGGTCCTCTGACCCTAAGAGGCTGACCTCCTCTTGACTGGGAATGTGTGACTTTATAGCCACTGGGTCACTCTCAGGTCTTAGGCCCACAGTCCAGCTTGCATGCCTGACTGCACTTGGTCCCCGTGCCCCCCAGCCCCACACTGGCTTCTAATCCTGTCCCCTCCCTGCAGGAGATGATCGCTCTCGGCTGCAGCAACTTCTTTGGCTCCTTCTTTAAAATTCATGTCATTTGCTGTGCGCTTTCTGTCACTCTGGCTGTGGATGGAGCTGGAGGAAAATCCCAGGTGAGCCTTGTTCTAGGGGAGTTGGGGGGAGGTGGTAAGAGAACAGTTGCCCCAAAAAAGCCTGGGCACTGCAAGCCAGGCCAGCTCTTCTCCGACCCCTTCTTCCCGTCTTAGTCTCCACTCCACCAAAGCCATGGATTGGAAGTAAATCAAGAGCAAAAATTTCACACCTTCCCTCTATCCCCAACTCTTTCTCGGAATAGGTGGCCAGCCTGTGTGTGTCTCTGGTGGTGATGATCACCATGCTGGTCCTGGGGATCTATCTGTATCCTCTCCCTAAGGTAAGAGCCCAGCCATCGAGCAGAAGTCAACGAAAGACTCCAATAAGAACAATCCCTGAGAGTTGTGTGGCACTTTACGGACCACAAAGTGCCACTGTTGTCACACTTAGTCTCAACCACAAACTGTGAGGTAGACAATGCAGGTTTTATCCTCCCCATTTTACAGGTGAAGGAAACTGAGTCTGAGAGTCTAAGTAACCTTGTCCATAGTGAGGCAGCTTACAGCGCAGGGCTGGTCCCAAACTCCAGCCTTCTGGCCTCAGAGTCTAATCCCTAGGCAACATTTGCACCTACCCACGAGTACCAGGCTCTTATATAGCCCAGCTAGGAGGGCTCTAGGCATGCGTCATTTAGAGATGAGGGAAGAGAGATAGGGAAAGGATGGGGCCAGGAAGGACCCCATGGCTCTAACGCCAGCACTTTCCAAACCTAAGGTCGAATGCAGAGATTTGGGGGATCAGCCAGGGGAGGTGTTCCAGAACTCCGTCTCTGTCCTGCCAGGCCTTGGGGTCGGGTATGCGCAGGAGGGCAAAAAGAAGGGGAGACCCTGGGGTCCTGGAGCAATGTTCTGCTTCTCTAGTCTGTGCTAGGAGCCCTGATCGCTGTCAATCTCAAGAACTCCCTCAAGCAACTCACCGACCCCTACTACCTGTGGAGGAAGAGCAAGCTGGACTGTGTAAGTATCGGGCAGCCTCTGGGTACTGGCCATGCCCCTGCCCTCTCCTCCAACCCCACAGCCCTGTCAGCCCTGTCCTAACAATGAACCCTCTAGTCTGCTGCTTCCTAATTAGCATGAGATGAGTGGTTAAAAGTCCGAGTTTCGAAGTGAAACATCCTATGTTCAAACCCTAACTCAGCCATCTGCTGGCTCCATGGCCAATAGCAAGCCCCTTAACCTTTCCCAGTCTTGGTGTCTTAACTGGGCAAATGGTTATTTTATGCTCTCTGCCTCCCAGGGTTTTCTATGAAGAAGAAGCAAGGTAATACAAGTAAACATGTTGTCTACATCGTATTTTATACTCAATAAAGCTTAGCTATGACTACTTTATGACATACAGCTTTAAAAAACAAAAGGAAATAGTTTGTATTTTAAAAAAAAACCTAGAACATAAAGCCAGAGGACCAAAATCTTGAGCAAGTTACTAGACTTCCCTGGGGTTCTATTTCCTCATCTGTAAATGGGGGTGAGACTCATGCAGTCATGGTTGCGTCAAACGCTGGTTCCGAGGATTAAATGAGATCCCAGTGGGAAAACACCGCATGAGCGCAAACATTCTGCAAACATGACTTATTGTCCTGATTAGTCACACACTCCACCGCATCATCCGCTGGGCATAGTAATGAAGGCCAGTGTGTTTTGACGACACTGCCTTCTCTCCATTTAAGCCCCACCATAACCTATGGGAGAGGATTTACTAAACTTTCTTAACGGTGATGAAACCAAGGCTCAGAATGGTTAAGTAAATTGTCAAAGGCCACAGAGGTAGGGAGTGGTAGAGTCTGGATTAAAACTCCAAGTCCTGGACTCCAGACCTCTAGGCTGTACTGTCTCATAGGGAAGGCAGTCTCACCCACCTAGGGCAGAGAAGAAAATCCTTAAAGCCAGAGAAGTGAGTGGCTCATCTGTGGTCACCCAGAGAGACAGTGATGAGGACAGGGAGAAAAATTATACCTCAGTTCCCAGCCCAAGGATCTGCTTTGACCATAACCCAACAAGCCCCCGCTATGGTGGTATTCCCTTAGGTTCATATGGCGGCTTTTGTTTCCATTTGATCTTCACAGCAATTCTCTACAGGAATCTGGGCAGATTTATTTCCTTTAGAGGAATTTCCAGGTCTTAAAATCTATAGGGGGCAACTATCAAAACTTCACCCAATGTTGCCCCCTACCCACACACAAAACCAGGCCCCCAGCCGATCAGAAAGCACTGCTGAGCTCCTGTCAGGGCCCACGCAGCTCGCTGTGAGACAGAGAGAGGGAACTCACATTTATTGATCACCTACTGAGCATCCATCACTAGGCTAGGACCGTCACATTCCTTAACTTTTGAATCCTTTCATGAAGTAGGCATTATTATTCTCCTTTTGTTTCACATAGCCATTAAAGAACAAAATTTGGGGCTGGGTGTGCTGACTCACACCTGTGATCTAGCACTTTAGGGGGCTGAGGCAGGAGGATCGCTTGAAGTCAGGATTTCAAGGTCAGCTTGGGCAGCTTAGCGAGAGCCGTCTCTAGAAAAATAAAAAGTTAGCTGGGTGTGGTGGCACGTGCCTATAGTCCTAACTATTCAGGAAGGTTAGGCGGGAGCACAACTTGGGTTCAAGGGTTTGAGGCTCCAGTGAGCTGATCTTGCCACTGCACTACAGCCTGAGCAACAGAGCAAGACCCTGTGACTCCAAAAACAAACAAACAAACACATTTTGAACCCAAACAGATCTGACCCAAGATGCATGCTCTTATAGATGCCACCTCCCTGTGTGCTGGGGCTTCTACTAAAAACACAGACAAGATCAGGCAACCACAGTCAATCTAAGGGAAAGAGGAAAGTGTAACCAAAGCACAAATACATAAAATATTGCAAAAAATGCTATTTAAAGAAAAAAAAGAGAAGAGAGGCTCTGAGGTTGTACTAACAGAGAATGGCCTTGGCTAATCCAGGAAGACTTCCTGAAAGAGGTTGTTTTTTCCCCAGGTCTGCTTTTGACATCTCTCTTTTCACAGTGCATCTGGGTAGTGAGCTTCCTCTCCTCCTTCTTCCTCAGCCTGCCCTATGGTGTGGCAGTGGGTGTCGCCTTCTCCGTCCTGGTCGTGGTCTTCCAGACTCAGTTGTAAGTGATAGCTTCCGCCCTCCTAGGCCCACAGTCGGTTCCCTGGGCCAGCCCGCAAAGGGCTTCCATGCCACGGCCTGGCTTAGTCCACTGTACCTTCCACCTCTGGGCCTGGCACTGGAGGTGCTGCCAGGCCCAAAGAGAGCCCAACCCAGCCAGGACTGTGGGCACAGTCTGGGCTGTTTGACTTCCCATATCTTGAAAACCCCAGAGAAAGCCAGCATACTCTTGCTGGGGATGGCTGGGGAGAGGGCAGTGGCAGAGAAAGGAGGGCAAGGGCAGGTGGTGAGATTCAACATCCTTCCAAAGACATTGCCAGAACCCCAAACCAAATGGGACCCCACCCCAGGAGAGCGCCAGGGTGGAAGACAGAAGCTGTGTTCTACACACTGGGAGTATTACAGAGAAGGGGTCTTGGCCCAGGCAGGGAGTACGCTGAATGTTGGGGGAATCCTATCTTCTCTTCTTGAGAACTCAGAACAAGGAAATGATGACTTCAGGGCGACTCCCACCACTTCTCCCACCACTTCTCTCCCCTGCCCTGTGGTCTGGGAGCTATGTCAAGGACCTGCCTGTCATCCTCATAGTTATAGGAGGCCACAGGCCACCAGACATGTGTCTCCAGTGCAAAAAGACAGACACAGCAAGTCTGGGGGTGAGGACAGGACCCCATCCTACCTTGGCTCTGCCCCCGCCCCAGCAGGGGCACCCTTCCAGGCCCATGTGCCATTAGCATTCTCTTATGTTTTTCTCTTCCTGCTTCATCCAGTCGAAATGGCTATGCACTGGCCCAGGTCATGGACACTGACATTTATGTGAATCCCAAGACCTATAATAGGGTAGGTAATTCAAGCTTATGACCTCCTTCTTTTGCTCTGCACCACCCCAAGAAGAGGTTGCTTTTTAAAGCCAATAAAGACATTTCTGCAACTTGAGCTCAGTCTCCCTGTCACAGGCCCAGGATATCCAGGGGATTAAAATCATCACGTACTGCTCCCCTCTCTACTTTGCCAACTCAGAGATCTTCAGGCAAAAGGTCATCGCCAAGGTAAGGCTCAGTCCCTGGCGACCAGAGGCTCTGGACAGAGAGTGGCCGGAAAATGGAAGCAGAAGGGCGGTGGGAGCTGAGAATAGGCCACTCCCATAGAGGGTGGAGGTCAAGATTGCTGTTGGCTCTCTCCCTGCAGACAGGCATGGACCCCCAGAAAGTATTACTAGCCAAGCAAAAATACCTCAAGAAGCAGGAGAAGCGGAGAATGAGGCCCACACAACAGAGGAGGTCTCTATTCATGAAAACCAAGGTGAATGAAGGCCAGAAGCAGCCCCGTGCCCTGCTCTCCTGCCCATTCTGATACTGCCCCCTGTTACTCATGGTACCCTGGGGGCCCCGCTTCCCACCCTGACAGGCAAAGACAGAAAGTCTCTGGGAACACTGCCTGGTGGCCGCTGGGCATTTTTCTTCTTTTTTTTCTTTTTCTTTTTAGAGATGGAATTTTGCTCTTGTCACCCAGGCTTGAGTGCAATGGCGTTATCTTGGCTCACTGCAACCTCCACCTCTGGGGTTCAAGCGATTCTCCTGCCTTAGCCTCCCAAGTCGCTGAGATTACAGGTGCCACCACACCCAGCTAATTTTTGTATTTTTAGTAGATATTGGGTTTCACCATGTTGGCCAGGCTGGTGTCAAACTCCTGACCTCAGGTGATCCACCTACCTTAGCCTTCCAAAGTGCTGGGATTACAAGCCTGAGCCACTGCGCCCAGCCTGGGCATTTTTCTTCTTGGATGAGGTGCTACCATCTCCCAGGGAAGCCACTGAACCCCCAAGGCCCTTCTCCATTTTCTGGCTAAGATAGGACATGGCCCATGGACTTTTGAACAACCCAGAGGGGGAACAGCAGTGAATTTCCTGGGGAACCCAGGCAGCCCAGGGCTAGCAAGGCTGGGGTGGCCATGGCAGTAATCCTTGTAATCCCAGCACTTTAGGAGGCCGAGATGGGAGAATCACTCTCATGAGTTCAGGAGTTCGAGACCAGCCTGCCCAACGTGGCGAAACGCTGTCTCTACTAAAAATACACAAAAATTAGCCAGGCGTGGTGGTGGGCACCTGTAATCCCAGCTACTCAGGAGGCTGAGGCACGAGAATCACTTGAACCCGGGAGGCAGAGGTTGCAGTGAGCCGAGATAGTGCCACTGCACTCCAGCCTAGGCAACAGAGGGAGACTCTGTCTCAAGAAATAAAGGAGCTCAGTGTCCCCGGAGGGGCTTTCTCCCAGAGAGAGTGGGCTTGAGGCTTCAGTGCCTCTCTTGGCTGGGTCCTCTGACTTTGTCTGGGTTGTAGGAGACCAAGTTTGCAGGCCCTGCCTAAGAAAGGGCTTTGGGAGAGGCCTCTCTGGTGGAGCTTTCAGGGTCTGTGTTCACCATCACCGAGGCGAGTTATTCCCCTACACCTACACCCTCCATGCCCCTGCTTCAGTCACAGCAAGGTCTGGCTCAGTCTGGTGGTCCCTGACTCTGCCCACTGTCCCCACCCTTCCAGACTGTCTCCCTGCAGGAGCTGCAGCAGGACTTTGAGAATGCGCCCCCCACCGACCCCAACAACAACCAGACCCCGGCTAACGGCACCAGCGTGTCCTATATCACCTTCAGCCCTGACAGCTCCTCACCTGCCCAGAGTGAGCCACCAGCCTCCGCTGAGGCCCCCGGCGAGCCCAGTGACATGCTGGCCAGCGTCCCACCCTTCGTCACCTTCCACACCCTCATCCTGGACATGAGTGGAGTCAGCTTCGTGGACTTGATGGGCATCAAGGCCCTGGCCAAGGTGAGGCCCTCGGGAACAGCAAGCACCACCCACTCCACCCCCTCCGCTCTGCTCTCCACATTCCCTTTCCTGGGAGCCCTCATTTCAGGAAGCTGAGGGAGGAAGCTCACTGGGGAGACTAACAGCTCCTAGGAATCCCTCCTTTCCCCAGACGCCACCAGGTTGAGACATTCTCCACAGAGCAGGCCCAGACGGCCCATGACAATGAGTGGCGGGACAAGTCTACCAGAGTTTCAGGCCCCTGTGCTCCCAACACCCCCAGCAGTGGCCATCCCAAGTCCCTCTCAGCCATCAGGAACCCACCCAGGTTCTCTGAGGAGGGTCCGGTTTGGCTCCTGGTTCATGATCTGCTGCCCTTGTCCCTCATTCACCGGCCACCCTAGGACAGGAGAAGGAATAATACCAGTGCCCCACACCATCAGGCCAAACAGAGAGCCCACGGGACACCTTGAATGAATGTATCCATCTGATAACTTTCCAGCAGCCACCGCCAATGGCGGGAGTCAGCAAACCTCAGAGCTGGCTCAGATAGAGGCAAGCCAGGGGAACAATGGGCACAGAGAGTGTTCGGACTGCCTTCACCATCAACCAGGCGCAGGGCAGGCCCCATACCCAGCCTTGGGCCTCAGCCGGCTTCCTTAGCCAGGATCTGGAGTCCAGGCCAGCCTTGGCTGAAGCTCTAGACTCCCTGAGCCTCCATCCTCCCCTGCAGCTTCTGTCTGAAGCCACAAAGAAGTCTGAGAATCTAAGCTACTGAAAGAAAAGATCAGCCGGGCGTGGTGGCTCACTCCTGTAATCCCAGCACTTTGGGAGGCCAAGGCAGGTGGATCACAAGGTCAGGAGTTCAAGACCAGCCTGGCCAACATGGTGAAACCCCGCCTCTACTAAAAATACAAAAATTAGCCAGGTGTGGTGACGGGCCCCTGTAGTCCCAGCTACTCGGTAGGCTGAGGCAGAGAATTGCTTGAACCCAGGAGGCGGAGGTTGCAGCGAGCCAAGATCACGCCACTGCACTCCAGCCTGGGCAACAGAGTGAAACTCCATCTCAAAAGAAAAAAAAAGAAAATATCTAGCCCCACAAGAAGGGGCCATGGTGACTTTAAGTGCCCGCCACGTTGGCAAAAGTCCATTTCCGCTCCACTTCCCAGAGAAACCGTCAGCCAACACTCCAGGGAGAAGTGGTGTGCTTTGCTGCTATTTTTGTCTTTGGCTGCTGGGCTCTCAGGGTTGCTTATTTGTTTGGCTTCCCCTCTGAAGTACGTTTTGTGAATCACTTTTGAGACCCACTCAGAACATTCCTTTCCTTTTGCCTCCCTACCCCAACAACACTTCTAGCTGAGCTCCACCTATGGGAAGATCGGCGTGAAGGTCTTCTTGGTGAACATCCATGGTAAGAGAAAGAGGACATTTAGGGACTGAAAGACTGGCAAGGAGTGTGGGGTAGGAACAGGTTGGTGGGGTCTGAATAGTGAGGAGGTTGGAAACGAGAGCACCCAGCTATCCCCCACAAGCTGCTGCCTGCTCATAAAAGCTTCAGGTACAAGTCCAAAGAGACTGGTCAGATTGCATAAACATCCTAGGGGCCTTAGTGACAGAGTGGGGGTGAGGAGGTCATGGAGTTACAGAAGGACAGCTAGGATTCTAATCTACCCCATAACTAATTTGCCACGTATCCTTGGCCGAGTCACTTTATCTCTCAAGGGATCTATTTCTACCTATGTAAAACGAGAGGGTTGACTAGATGGATTTGGGGATCCTCTCCCAATCAGAAACTCTGTGAATCGATATAGGCATAGAGCACACGGTACCCTAATTCCCCAGGGAACATATAAATATGCAGTTTTGTAGGCATACAGCCTCCAAAGGGTGCATATACACAGCCTCAAGGACGTGGCCACAGGGCAGCAGACATTTACATGACTAGCATGTACGCAAAGTGCAGAGATGTGGGAGCAAGTGCACACAGACACACAGGAGAATGTGAAGGGGCACATACACACACACCCAGCTCCCTGCACTGGGTCAGACCCCCTCCAGCAGGGCTGCAGTTCCCAAGCTCCGCATGGCCACGTTCGGGGAGAGAATCTGCAGTGGCAATGACCTGCTATGATATGTTCTGGAGTTAGAAGCAGTGGATTCTCCCCAACCTCACTGGACACCCCCTCAGGAAACCATCTCTAGGATTAAGAGTAATCCACACAAACTTCCAATGCCACACATTGGAAGTTGCTGGAAAGGTCTGGGAAAACAAGAGGAAGGATGGGTCCTTGGGGGATAGAACTGGCAGCGGCCTCTTCAAGGATGGCTTAGGCTTTTCCACTCGAATCACCACAAAGTACTGACTCCCTAAATCAAACTGCTTCCTTCTGCTCTGGGTTGAAACTTCAGCATCCTCAAGTTCATGTTGCCCTCTGCCGTCCAAAACTGATATTGCACTGCCAATGCCATGGCCCTCAGATACAGCAAGAGCTGGGACCTCAGGCCTCTCCCATCCCTGCTCTGGTCTCACTATCTTCCCCACCCCCAGCTCCAATCCACAATGGCTGTTATCTTTCTGAAGGTGATCTTTTCTCCTTCTAGCCCAGGTGTACAATGACATTAGCCATGGAGGCGTCTTTGAGGATGGGAGTCTAGAATGCAAGCACGTCTTTCCCAGCATACATGACGCAGTCCTCTTTGCCCAGGCAAATGCTAGAGACGTGACCCCAGGACACAACTTCCAAGGGGTAAGGTTCTTGCACCTGGGGAATCCTAGGCTCCAAGGCACTGAAATAGCAGGACCAAGAGGCATTATTAGAAAGAACACAGGAGAAGGTTTAAGTTCCAATATCAAGTCTGCCATTTCAGTTTTCTGAATCTGTTTCCTTATCTATAGAATGAGCACCATCAACTAACATTACCTACCTCTCTGCATTTTTCTTTTATTTTGTTTTAGGGTTAAATGATAATTACATCTTTTGTGTCACTTGAAAGCACTTTGTGTATTGTAAAAATTCTTTATCAATATAAGTTTTCTGGTTGCACAAACACCCAAAGCATAGTAGAGCAGGCCCACTCTGCTGGCATCGTTCCCTGCCTCCTCCTCATCTCTTTCTAAAGGGGGCTTTCGGGAAGGGAGGGGAGGGGAGTAAGCCTACCCATTTTAACTTACCGGAGCTTAGAGATTTCAGGCTGGTGAGGGATAAAGAGATTGGGTCTGAGTTTTGTCTCAGCTTTTTGACATTTAATTTACTAGCTCAGTAAGTTACAAATGGGATACAAATAACACCATCTAAAACTCCAGAAGACTGGGGAGTCAGAAAAAGCCTACCTCCTTGGGGTCCCTGCCCAGATCCCCAGTCATCTCTAGCCCTCAGGGTCCCCTCCCAGCTCAGCTCCTGCCCTTGGCCTCCCAAGACTCTTGTTGTGCCCCAGCCCTGGGTAAAAACCTCCCCTGCCCTCTGTGGGTCATAAGAAAGGCTTTTCTGGCCCTAGAGCAATGATTTGCTCTTTGCCTTAAGAGACTGATGAAGGTGAAACCATCTGTTCTAAGTGCTGAAAGACTGCCCAGGAACACACAGGGCGCTGGCTCCTGCCCTCCATGCCTAGAGGGAAACCCTGGGGAAACAACGGGCTTTCCTGCTTCGTGAATTTGTCCGCAGAGCAAAGAGGGAGATTCTGGAGGAAGCTGCATTAGTTGTTAGTGCCCTAATCATGTTCAGCTACTCTAGTTGGTATGTATACTTGATTAGTCATAGACTTATAAATAATTTATATTTTATATAATATATACTTACATATTATAGACCATTCACAGATACAAATCACACACATAAACACACACCTTTTCAACAGCATTGTGAGGGACAAAGCAGGCAAAGTGAGGCTGGTTATCAGACTTGAACAGATTAGAAAATATATTCCCAGGAGGACAGGAATTCCCCAAGGTCAGGCAGCTAGCCAATAGTTTTTCTAAGCTGAGTAAAACCTTCCCTGCCTCTAACGGCCCACAAAGGAGGGAAGACCGCGATACACACCTGTCTGGTATAAGGGGGAAGACCACAGCCGTGCTGTTTTTGTGAGGCAGGTAAGGGAAGGGGCAAGAGGATAAGTCATGTGTCAGGAAGCAGCGTCCAACCAGAGCCGGCCACCTGTCCCTTTTCCTGCCACCATGCACCAACTTTGCTGTTCAGTCACTGAAGCTCATTCTGCACTGGCTTCCTCCCTTCCAGGCTCCAGGGGATGCTGAGCTCTCCTTGTACGACTCAGAGGAGGACATTCGCAGCTACTGGGACTTAGAGCAGGTGAGCTGAGGGAAGGGGCTGTGAGGGTGGGAGCAGGGCGAAGAGGGGAAGGATGGGGTCGCTGTCAAATACAAGGCGTTCACTCAGCTGTCTCACCTCCAGCCCAGAGCAGTCACATTCAAGGCCACAAAGATTTGTGGTCATCTTTGTTTTTTTTCTTTTCCTTTTCTTTTTTTTTTTTTTTTAATTTGAGACAAAGTCTCACTCTATCACCCAGACTGGAATGCAGTGGCATGATCTCAGCTCACTGCAACCTCTGCCTCCCGGGTTCCAGAGGTTCTCCTGCCTCAGCCTCCCGAGTAGCTGGGACTTCAGGCCTGCGCCCAGCTAATTTTTGTATTTTTAGTAGAGACAGCTTTTCACCATGTTGGCTGGGCTGGTCTCGAACTTCCGATCTCAAGCAATCTGCCTGCCTCGGTCTCCTAAGTGCCTGGATTACAGGCATAAGCCACGATGCCTGGCCTTTGTTTTCATTCTTCTCACTCCCTGAAAGTTATCGTGGGGAGAGGGTGAGTCACTGGACCAAGTCCTAGAGAACCAGTATCTATTCTTATTCTCCAACACATCACCCACGTGACCCTGAGCAAGCCACATACACCCTGGGCCCTAGTTTTTATCATCTGTGAAATTAGGGGAAACATAGGTAATACCTGTCCCATCCACCACACAAGATTGGCAGGGCAGTCACTTGTTCTTTCATTAATTCAGCAGGTATTTATGGCGTACCTACTGTTTGCCTGACACAGTTCAGGATGGGCACATAGCAGTGAGCAAAACAAAGGCCTCTGCCTTTTAGAAACTTACGTTATGGTAGAATAGATGGATTCTGGGTCTACAAATGAATTATTATTGCATGTGGACAAGCCTTAAGAACTAAAAAATATGTGGCTGGGTGCAATGGTTCACACCTGTAATCCCAGCACTTTGGGAGGCTGAGGTGGGCGGACCACCTGAGGTCAGGAGTTTGAGACCAGCCTGGCCAACATGGCGAAACCCCGTCTCTACTAAAAGCACAAAAATTAGCCAGGCGTAGTGGTGCATGCCTGTAGTCCCAGCTACTCGGAAGTCTGAGGCATGAGAATCACTTGAACCTGGGAGGCAGATGTTGCAGTGAGCCGAGATCGTGCCACTGCACTCCAGCTTGGGTGACAGAGCTAGACTGTCTCAAAAACAAACAAAACAAAACCTAAAAGATATGTGGATATGAGGGATCACCATCCCCATAGGGCCCCTGGATTAACACCACCCCACCAATGCCCTGAATTAAAAGAAACCAGATGACTAGGTTTGGAGAAATCTGGCTTTGGGTCTATGAGAAGTAGTGTCTCTCTTTGTGCCTCTTCCCATTCTTTTTGACATTGAGCTCCATGGTGCTCTGAATCCGTCTCTCACAGTGCTGATGGCAGGTGGGACAGATTAGAAAATAGAGCTGGAGCCACAGAGATTTGGCAGACTGATTTCGGTGCCCTCTTGGAATCTCCAGCACATTCCAAAAAGCCTGGATAGGACCAAAATAGCTTATCAACGTGAGAAAGGACTTCAGAGCTTGTCTACTGCCAACCCTCATTTTACCCAATGAGGAAAGTGAAGCTATTAGGGGGCGAGGGACACGTGGAAGGTCACACAGCACACAGGAGGTGATTCACATGTAGATTTCAGCACCTGCTCCTGCCACGCTGGACTGGTTCACCTCCTAGGCTGACCCTGCCTCTCCCCTGTTCACACACACTCTCGCACACACACACACACACACACACACACACAGGTGCTTTGTTCTGGCCAGGGGTTCCTAGGGTCACCTCTTGGTTGCAGCCACTGTGACCCCAACTGGTCTAACCTCTCTCTTCCCCTCCCACTTCCTTCCTGTGGTTCCTGCAGGAGATGTTCGGGAGCATGTTTCACGCAGAGACCCTGACCGCCCTGTGAGGGCTCAGCCAGTCCTCATGCTGCCTACAGAGTGCCTGGCACTTGGGACTTCCATAAAGGATGAGCCTGGGGTCACAGGGGGTGTCGGGCGGAGGAAAGTGCATCCCCCAGAGCTTGGGTTCCTCTCTCCTCTCCCCCTCTCTCCTCCCTTCCTTCCCTCCCCGCATCTCCAGAGAGAGCCTCTCAGCAGCAGGGGGGTGCTACCCTTACAGGAGTGAGAGTCTGGTGAGCCCACTCTTCACCCGTCAGGCCCTGGCCGCAATGGACAAGCCTCCTGCTCACTCCACCCCACCCACCTCTGCCCTGTCCTTGGCAGCTGAAGGACACCTTGACTTCCAGCTTTTACGAGTGAGCCAAAAACAGAAGGACAAGTACAACTGTGCTGGCCTGCTGTACAAGCTTCAAAAAGTGTCCCAGAGCCCACACGGCTCGGTGTCAGATGGTGTCAGGCTGTCACGGACATAGGGATAAACTTGGTTAGGACTCTGGCTTGCCTTCCCCAGCTGCCTCAACTCTGTCTCTGGCAGCTCTGCACCCAGGGACCATGTGCTCTCCACACCCAGGAGTCTAGGCCTTGGTAACTATGCGCCCCCCCTCCATCATCCCCAAGGCTGCCCAAACCACCACTGCTGTCAGCAAGCACATCAGACTCTAGCCTGGACAGTGGCCAGGACCGTCGAGACCACCAGAGCTACCTCCCCGGGGACAGCCCACTAAGGTTCTGCCTCAGCCTCCTGAAACATCACTGCCCTCAGAGGCTGCTCCCTTCCCCTGGAGGCTGGCTAGAAACCCCAAAGAGGGGGATGGGTAGCTGGCAGAATCATCTGGCATCCTAGTAATAGATACCAGTTATTCTGCACAAAACTTTTGGGAATTCCTCTTTGCACCCAGAGACTCAGAGGGGAAGAGGGTGCTAGTACCAACACAGGGAAAACGGATGGGACCTGGGCCCAGACAGTCCCCCTTGACCCCAGGGCCCATCAGGGAAATGCCTCCCTTTGGTAAATCTGCCTTATCCTTCTTTACCTGGCAAAGAGCCAATCATGTTAACTCTTCCTTATCAGCCTGTGGCCCAGAGACACAATGGGGTCCTTCTGTAGGCAAAGGTGGAAGTCCTCCAGGGATCCGCTACATCCCCTAACTGCATGCAGATGTGGAAAGGGGCTGATCCAGATTGGGTCTTCCTGCACAGGAAGACTCTTTAACACCCTTAGGACCTCAGGCCATCTTCTCCTATGAAGATGAAAATAGGGGTTAAGTTTTCCATATGTACAAGGAGGTATTGAGAGGAACCCTACTGTTGACTTGAAAATAAATAGGTTCCATGTGTAAGTGTTTTGTAAAATTTCAGTGGAAATGCACAGAAAATCTTCTGGCCTCTCATCACTGCTTTTCTCAAGCTTCTTCAGCTTAACAACCCCTTCCCTAACAGGTTGGGCTGGCCCAGCCTAGGAAAACATCCCCATTTCTAACTTCAGCCAGACCTGCGTTGTGTGTCTGTGTGTTGAGTGAGCTGGTCAGCTAACAAGTCTTCTTAGAGTTAAAGGAGGGGGTGCTGGCCAAGAGCCAACACATTCTTGGCCCAGGAGCATTGCTTTTCTGTGAATTCATTATGCCATCTGGCTGCCAATGGAACTCAAAACTTGGAAGGCGAAGGACAATGTTATCTGGGATTCACCGTGCCCAGCACCCGAAGTGCCAAATTCCAGGAGGACAAGAGCCTTAGCCAATGACAACTCACTCTCCCCTACTCCACCTCCTTCCAAGTCCAGCTCAGGCCCAGGAGGTGGGAGAAGGTCACAGAGCCTCAGGAATTTCCAAGTCAGAGTCCCCTTTGAACCAAGTATCTAGATCCCCTGAGGACTTGATGAAGTGATCCTTAACCCCCAAGTAATCATTAACCCCCAGACCAGCCTCAGAACTGAAGGAGATTGTTGACCCAGTGACCTGGAGTTGAGGCTCAGGGAGAGATCTGCCACATGTCTGAGGGTTGCAGAGCCCGCTGTGGAGGTAAGATTGGAAACACATGAGGCAGAGGGAAGACATTGAAGAAAACATCTCTGCTGGAATATTTGGAAAAGAACACTCTTCTGGACCTGGTTGAAGCAGGAAAGATGGAGGCAAAGTAGTGAAATAATCCAGAATTTCAATGCTTTTGAATGTTCTTAGTGATACTGACCTGTGATAATATAATTCCCAGGGAGGACTGGGAACCTTATCTCTTGAGATATTTGCATAATTTATTTAATTTAAGCCTCATTCTCCTTTTGTTCATTTTGGTAATAAACTGGATTTGAATTGTGAACAAATGCACATGTTTGGGTGGTTTTATAGAAAAGCAAAACAAGTCACCTCCACAGAGACCTGGCCTTGCTTTGCATTATCCCGGGCGGGGGAAGCAACGAGGACTCAGATTTCTCTGTAGGTCTCCCAGCTCCTCTCCAGGTTCGATTTTCCATCCTGGGAATGCATAAACTTCCACAATCCAGCTAAAGAACAGAAACTGGGGAGAGAAGATTGGGCTGAGGGGTCCACACACCCAGGACGAGTATCTAGAGCCAACTCTGGATTTTTGTGGCTATAGGGGATGTCAAAGCCCCATCATCCCTCTGCATACCTTTCACTCACTAATTCTTTCACATTCATGGGATCCCATCGTTACTTAGCAAACCCTTCAGAATCCTTAGTGTGGGGCAGCACACAATCTAATCCCACCTTTCGCTCCCCTGTTTGTGAGACAATGCAAGGAGAGCAAAGCCATGGGATTCAAGTGTCATACAAGCTAGGTTGACTGTCAACTGTGTTTACCAGCAATCAGAAAGGGAAGAAGATAAGAGGAATCACGAAAAACAAAAAGCAAAGGCATAAAGGAGACAGAAAGAGGATGAAGTGGAAAGAGATGAAGGACCAGAGATTAGACAAAACAAAGAGGGAAGGGAGATGAATGGTCATTGGTATGGAGATACACAGGGCCAGGCACAGTGGCTCACACCTGTAATCCCAAAACTCTGGAGATTTAAAGGATTGCTTGAAGCCAGGAGTTCAACACCAGTCTGGCCAACCCATAGTGCGACCCCATCTCTTAAAAAAAAAAAAAAAAAAAAAAAAGATGGGGAGAACTAGAAGAAGGAGAAACAGTTGAAGGAAGAGGATACGTTGCAGAGGCAGAGAAGTCAATGAGTCCCAAAATGATATTTATTTAAGATAAACTAATCTTGCTTTACCTGCTATTCAGCTGAGCTGTGGGATTTGGGTAAATAAGCAATTAGCATCCCTCTCATAGGAGTTTTAGACTTTTTTTCTAATGATGCTATCTTAGCCTGATTCCCCCTGGATGCAGAACCTGAGACAAAAGTCTGCATGGGCTATTCAGGCAATGATTTCAGGGAGAGGAGTGATGGGCAAGAGTGAAAACAGGGAGGCAGAGAAAGCCAACACAAGAAAGAGCCACTGTGAAAGGCAAGTGGGGCTCTACCCCGCCAGTCCTTCCCAGGAGC